>NC_000017.11:8824444-8975959 GCF_000001405.40 Homo sapiens
AACTCATATCCGATCCTCTAAGACCTCTTCTATCTCTCACATCTGGTGTACTGAAATATTGTTCCCTTCGAAAGGGTCACACTGAGGAGCTATGAACGTAGTCTAATAATGCTGTCATTGCTCACATTGTTTCTGGTATCTTCATGTGGAAACCGCTTTTGGAGTAAGCATAGGGCCATTCAAATTGTTAATTACAAGGAGAAGGGGAAAACCAAAACCTTACAGTGTCCCAGCGGAGAAAAATAGCTACCAGCAAAGGAGCACCAATGGGGCCTGCATCAAATGTTCCCACTGTAATAGCATCCAAGTTTCAAGGAAAAAGTATTTTAATACCCAGCTAAATGGTCTTTGTGTGTATGCAAAGACATTTTCGGATCAGGTATAAGCCAGAAAATGTGCACCCCTAAATATCCTTATTCGAATAAAATATGTAAGAAGACACCCTCATCAGTCAAATGATAAAGCAAAATGGAGAGCTCAGTACAGTGACAAGTTAAAAAACAGATATGTAAAAGTGGTAAATTAATGTTATATTTTTTACCGCAGTTTTTAAAACTAAAGTAAATAAATGTGTATAAGTCAATAGCTTTCTTTTATATTAGCAGCAGGCACTACCCAAATATAATGGCATAAAGATACCATTCGCAATAGTAAGAAACACTATCACACACGAGTAATAAATTTAGTGAGAATTGGACAGAAGCTGTATGACGCAAACTTTACACTTATACTGAGGGATATATAAGGACACTTGGACAAATGAAGAGCTACACCATGCTCCTAGAGAGAAAAACTCAATATGCGAAAGATGCTAATTCTCCCCAAATTTCAATCGAAATCCAATAGGATTAAAAATAATAACAAAAACAAAACTTGAAATTCTAAAGTTTATCAGGAAGAGAAATAAGCATATTCTGAAAAGTTTTGAAAAAGAAGAATAATAGGGTAGGCAGGCTTCTATAGCCAGATATTAAAATATCAAAAGGCTAATTTGTACAGAAATGAATAAATCAATGAGAGCATAGGTATGTACTAAATACTTACAAGCACATGTAAGGATCACGTACTAAATACAAGCACATGTTAGTATCATGTACTAAATACAAGTACACGTAAGTATTTAGCAAATGATAAAAGTGGCATTTCAAATTTCTGCGGCAAGATGGTTTATGCAAAATAGCTTTAGGACAACTAGCTCAACATTTGGAAAAAATAAAATGACATACTTCACATTAAACAATAAAATTAACTGCAGATAGACAATTAATTAAATGTAAAAATTGAGACATGGAAAGTGTTAAATTATCAGTGAACATTTATTTAAGCTTTTGGAAGCATGACTCCAAAGGCAGAAACTGTAAAGAATAAAAGTGCTATGTCTGACTACACCCAAGTATTAAACTTCTGCAAGTCAAAAAGTGGATAGGCAAGTTACAACTATGGGAAAAAAATCTGCAACATATGTAACAACAAAAAAGTTAGAATTCTCTTACTATATAAAAGCCCTTTCAAATCAGTAAAAGATGAGTTCCCTCCCCACTGCCAGCCACGGTTGGGGTATGGCAGTGTGGGTTTGTGGTTAGGAGAGGGTGCTCTGGAGTCAAGCTGCCTGTTTCCAACTGGCATTCCACCACTCATTCTGTGACTTCAGGCAAGATACTTAATCTCTTTGTGCCTCAGCTGCTCTATCTGTAAAACGGGGCTATGGTGACAATGGTACCTACCAACAGGGGCACCTGCCTCTGGGCTGCTGTGGGAATTAAATGAGCTGCCCTGTGTGTAAGTGTTTAGAACAGTGCCCAGTGCAGCATAAGTGCTCAGGAAACATCAGCTGTTACAATCATTGAAAAATGATTCATTCCACTATAAAGACACATGCACACGTATGTTTATTGTGGCACTATTTACAATAGCAAAGACTTGGAACCAGCCCAAATGCCCATCAATGATAGACAGGACAAAGAAATTGTGGCACATATACACCATGGAATACTATGCAGCCATAAAAAAAGAGTGAGTTAATGTCCTTTTCAGGGACATGGTGAAGCTGGAAACCATCATTCTCAGCAAACTAACATAGGAACAGAAAACCAAACACCACATGTTCTCACTCGTAAGTGGGAGCTGAACAATGAGAACACATGGACACAGGGAGTGGAACATCACACACCGGGGCCTGTCTGGGGGTTGGGGGCAAGGGAAGGGAGAGCATTAGGACAAATATCTAATGCATGCGGGGCTTAAAACCTAGATAAGGGGTTGATGGGTGCAGCAAACCACCATGGCACATGTATACCTGTGTAACAAACCTGCATGTTCTGCACATGTATCCCAGAACGTGAAGTAAAATAAAAATAAATAGATAAATGATAAAAAAAGAAAAAGGATCACAGGAAGCTCACACAAGAAGGAGTATAACTGCCCTACACACTTACGAAGGAATATTTTACTTCGTCTTTTCCACGGTGGTCTGGTCCAAAGTACGAGCCTGGTAAGTGTCCCGAGTGAGTTCAAAGCCACTATCTGGTTAGGGCCCCTGTCTTGAATTCCCTTCATGTCTCATCCCACCTGACTCTTAAGGTCAAAGGTCAAGTGCAGCAGCAAAAAGATGGCCCCCTCTCACCCCCATTTCACCCTCGCTGCCTACTTGGGCTCCTCCGTTCTCCCCTCTGCCCAGACCCCACTCCCGTCCCTCTCTCCCTCCCTGGTACCCTCACCCTCCCCTACCATCTCAGCCAGCTTGTGGATGGCGGGGCACAGCGTGTTGACGTTGCTCTGGTACCACGGGTCTACGCGGCCCAGGAACGTAGCCAGCTCTCCCAGCTCCGGCTGCCTGGATGCTGCAGGCTTCTGGGGGAAAGGGGATGGGGCAGACCCGTCAGGCCCTCTCTCCAGCTCTGCCTTCCAGCTGCCATCAGCCTAGGCTGTGTGAATATGGTCAAGTCATTTAACCTCTTGGGGCATGAATTTCTGCATGTGAAGACACGTCGTTGTTCTGTTTTATAAACTCAGATGAAGCTAGAATATCTTTTGCTGAGGTTCACTCAGCAGGGACATTGAAAAATGATCACCGACTTTAAAAGGGGAGAGACAAGTATGGCTTTGACCTTACTGCTTCCCAATAGGAAGTGGAGTGTGTAGTAGGAAGTGGAGCATGCGGTAGGAGTAAGGACTGCAAGTGTGGCTCTGTCCCCACAACTAGATCAATGGACTTCACTGCCTGCAATTTCCTTTCATGTCATACCAGAAAGTGTGGGGTGTGTGTGTATGTGTGTGTATGAGAGAGGGGAGGGAAGGGGAGAGAGAGAGAGAGAGAGAGGAGAGAGAGAGAGAGAGAGAGAGAGAGAGAGAGAGAGAGAGAGAGAGAGAGAGACCGCCCTGTGTTTGAGAAGTTTGCAACTAATTCCATTACCTACAAAAACAAAACAAATAGCAGCAAGCAGGCTGCCATCAAGAGAGAGACCCAATCTCTGGCCACATGCAACCCCCAGAGCACCGTCTGCAGCCTCTGAAATAGAAGACCGCTGACCTCTCTCCCGCCTCCACATTCTAAGGATGCTTACTCTAGTCCCTGAGCCGGGGATGTGGGGGATGCGGGGCTGCAGGTGTGTCCCTGCCCAGCCTGCCCTGTCTCTGCCCCGCCACCGCCTCCCCGCGGTCCAGTCACCTCAGGCGCCAGCACGGGGATGTAGTAGAGCTGCAGGCTGAGTCTGGGAGTGAGGCAGAACTTCTGGGTCTCCCGTTTCCTAGCAATGGGCAGCAAAGCAGAGGAGGTTAGGGGCGGGGCTTGGCTTCAAACAGACTCGGCTCTGCTATTTGTTATCTCTTGACCTTGGGCAATTTGTGTCATCTTTCTGAGCCTCTGCTTTCTCATCTACAAAATGGGTACAGTAATGTCTCCCTCGCAGGATGGTGATGAGGGTTCACGGAGCTAACGAACACAAAGCAGGGATTGCGGTGCTCTGTGACGGCTGCGGGCACTGTGCGGCATCCTCCTCCGTCCCACCCTGGCCTCTGCCTCCTGACCCTCTCTTGCCACCCTGTGATCCTTCACCAGCCCACGCCAGGCCCACCTGTGCCCCTGACCAGCGCCCACCCCCAGCCCCCACGTCGGGGCCCCACCTGAGTCTGTGGTAGGCCTGGGCCAGGCGCCCCAGCATCCTGTCATCTCCGAGCACAAGTACCCGGGCTGTGTGCAGCCGGGACACGCCGGGCAGCATTTCCCCATCCCCACTGGGCCGGCCTGTCCTCCGGTGCAGCCCTGGGGGCCCGTCCCAGCTGCCAGGCATCAAGAAGTCCAGGGGCCATGCACGCTTCTTGATGCCCCCTTTGCGCTGCAGCCCGGCTCGCTCCATCTCAGGGCTGCCGGGTGCAGGCAGCTCATCAGCCCCCGTGGGAAGGTCCCGCTCAATGCCGCTGTCAGTGGACAGCACAGAAACCCGGGCCAACTCCCGGTCCGGCCGGAGGCCCTGCAGATCCAAGACCTCCAAGTCAGCACTGAGGCGCAGCTGGGATCTTGGGCGGAGGAAGAGCACCAGTTCCTTCCCTGGGGTGGGGGAACAAGGGCGGTGAGGACACGTGAGGCTGGCAGGGCTACGTTTCTGATTTCAGCCAGTCCTCTTCAGAGGATACACACACACAGAAACACAGACAGACACATAAAGACACACATATGAACATGCACAGAGACTCACACACAGAGACACACAGATGCACACACATACACATGTACAGACACAGACAGACATACACACACGTGCACACACACAGACACACACACAGAGACACACTGAAACACATGCATGCACGCATACACACACAGACACACTGACACACACACGCATCATGCATACACACACACTGACACACGCATGCACGCATACACCCATGCAAGCACACACAGACACACTGACACACACACATGCATGGATACACACACTGACACACACGCATGCACACATACACACAGACACACTGACACACTCATGGATACACACACTGACACGCATCCACACACATACACTGACACACACTCATGCACGCATACACACACACTGACACACACTCATGCATACACACACACTGACACACGCATGCACACAGACACACACTCATGCACACATACACACACAGACACACTGACACACACTCATGCATACACACACTGACACACGCATGCACACTGACACACACTCATGCACGCATACACACACAGACACAGACATATACCACTGTTTCCAGACAGCTCCATGGGCACGTACAGAGCTGCTCCTCACCGGTCCACAAGTGGAAGGTGATGTAGGGGCTGGGCAGGGGAATGCTTGGTGGCCGCTCTTGGACAAGGTCACCTGCAGAAAGGAGCAGGCTGTGGAGGCCATGGAGGAGGCCATGGGACCCTCCTCTGCCCTCCCCATCCTGCCCAGCTCCTGTGCGGGGTCTTAGAGAGGTGGCAGGGACTCTCTCCTTCACATCTGGTCTGCCTTTCCATCTCTGCCACCACCAGCCCATCCAGGGCCCAACAGTGCAGCTGTCCCCTCCCTGTCCAACAATGCTTAGTAGCTACGTTTTCTCAAACCTAGCTCAACCCTTAGGGGGTCTTCACAAACCAGCTCACAAGGCCTTTTCCAACCTATGCTCCTATGCTGGCCATGCCTTCAGCCCTGTGCAGCTGCCAGACTGGCTTTCCCACTGTTCTTAAAATGCCCTGCCTGCATCCAGACGAGGCAGGAAAGACCCCTGCCCTTCTCAGGGCTGCTTCCAATATCTTGCATGCAGTAGACACTCAGTTAACATTTGCAGCTGTCGGCGATGCTGACGAGAACTCATCAACAAAGTTTGGGGGCAGCAGGAACCCCGGGCAGTCCAGGGGAGAGACAAAGGACAGCCCTTCTTCCTGCTTCTCTTTCTAGAATCTTTTCTGACCACTCCAGTGGCCCGCGGTGGTCATTCCCTCCGAGCAGACTGTCTGCACACTGGGCACACCTCACATGTGGTCTTAGGATTTGGCTCCGTATTCCCGTTTCACTTCTATATTGCTGTGGCTCCCCACTCATGAGGCTGCAAGCTTCTTAGGGGAGAGCAGCTAGTGTTCACTGAGCACCTACTGCCTGCCAGGCCTTATTCTACTCACCTGGCACACACTGTAATCATTTCTCTGGATCCTGCCAATGGCCCTGGGCAACAGGTGACATTATTATCCTCAATTTACAGGGGAGAAGCCAGGACACAGAGAGGTTGAATAACTGGCCCAAGGTCACATAGTAAATAGTACAGTGACGACTTGAGCCCAGGCAGCTCAGCTCCAGAGTTCCTGCTCTTACCCACAACACTGTGCTTATAATCACCACTCCATACTGCCCCCTACAGCCACAGGGGCTTGACGGGGGTGCTGCCTGGTCATTAAGATGCACAGGGCTTGGCCGGGCACGGTGGCTCATGCCTGTAATCCCAGCACTTTGGGACGCCGAGGAGGGTGGATCACGAGGTCAGGAGATCGCAACCATCCTGGCTAACACGGTGAAACCCCGTCTCTACTAAAAAAACACAAAAAAATTAGCTGGGCATGGTGGCAGGCGCCTGTAGTCCCAGCTACTCGGGAGGCTGAGGCAGGAGAATGGCGTGAACCCAGGAGGCAGAGCTTGCAGTGAGCGGAGATTGAGCCACTGCACTCCAGCCTGGGTGACTGAGCAAGATTGTGTCTCAAAAAAAAAAAAAAAAAAAAAAAGATGCACAGGGCTTAGCCAGGTGTGGTGGCACGTGCCTGTGGTCCCAGCTAGTCGAAAGGCTGAGGTGGGAGGATCGCTTAAGCCCAGGAGGTCAAGGCTGCAGTGAGCCATGATCGAGCCACTGCACTCCAGCCTGGGTGACAGAGCAAGACCCTGTCTAAAAAAAAAAAAAAAAAAAAAAAAAAGGCACAGGGCAAGTCTGGGCAGGAGACAGGTGCCCTTGGATGTGTCTTGGGGGTGGCCCAGATGGTCTTAATTAATCCATGCAGAGTCACTGGTGAGTGTTAGCAAGGGGCCACAAGGGGAGCAAAGCCAGATTGGCCCCAGGGTTAGTCCCAGCTTGGGGTACAGGAGGAGCTTTTTCCATGTGGGATCAGAGGCAGTGTAGAATGTTAAAGTAAAAGAGCGGACAACTTCGAAGATGGAGTCTTTAGGCAGGGACTATCCTGCCCACCTCACCCAACTGCTGTGGCCTCCACCCAACCTGGGCTGCCAAGTTCAAACCCAGGGCCTGGCACACTAACCTCTTCCGGTGGATTCCAGTCCTTAACCCCATGCCTTATAATGACAGGTGCACGATCAGTGACTGTGCATATCTGGGACATGCAGGCTGACATATTCCATGATACTTTGAATGACCACGAAATAGGACCCAAATCAGAACCATCCTACAACAGCCAGGAAACACATATTCGGGACGTTTCTCTGGGCTATTTCAGATGCCCCCATCCACATGGGGCTTGTGTCAGGGTAGGCATTATCTTACCTACATTATGCCTTGCATAAGATAAGGCGTTATCTTATAAATATGCAAATAGGAAGGGTGAGGAATAAAAATCTATGATACCAGATATAAACGATGTTGACTCATCTGCTCTTTTAGATGCTCTGGTCCTTGGACGATCAAATCCTTGGATTACTGCAGCTGAGTAGTGAACTAGACAGCCTGGATTTGTATCTTGGCTTTGCCATTTACTGCCTTGGGTGATCTTGGGCAAGATATTTAACCTCTTTCTAACTCAGTTTCGTCCTCTGTAAAATGGGGATAATAATAGTTTCTGCTTATAAGTTGACTGTGAGGTTTCATTGATTTAATACAGTATACGCAATATATTTAAATATATGTAAGGTGATTAGAACAGCAACTGGAGTATAGTAGGGGCTCTGTGGGCATCGGCGGTTATCATGACCAAATTACCCACCTTCTTTTTTTTTTTTTTTTTTTTTTTTTGAGACGGAGTCTCGCTCTGTCGCCCAGGCTGGAGTACAGTAGTGTGATCTCGGCTCACTGCAACCTCCGCCTCCCTGGTTCAAGTGATTCTCCTAACTCAGCATCCCGAGTAGCTGGGACTGCAGGTGCCCACCACCACGCCCAGCTGATTTTTTTTTTTTTTTGAGACTAAACCCTCTACTACTTTAGTAGAGGGTTTCCCCATGTTGCCTAGGCTGGTCTCGAAACCCTGACCTCAGGTGATCCGCCTGCCTCGGCCTCCCAAAATGCTGGGTTAACAGGCGTGAGCCACCGCTCCCAGCCTAATTACCCGCCTCTTAGTCCCGGTCCTGCCAAACCCCCAGGCTGCCCCCAGTCCCCAGGCTCCTGGGAGTCGGCCAGGCACCCAGACAGAGGCAGGTCCAGCGCTGCTCTCTGGCGCCCCCTGCTGTGCAGTGAGCTGCCCCCGCGGGACTCTTGCCAAGGCCCCCCATCTGCCAGTCGCTTACCACCGCAGCGCCCCGCCGCGGGACCCAGCAGCGAGCAGTAAATCTCCTCCAGCCTCTCTACGTGTCCCTCCCGGCTCGGGCTGGCCTCGCTGGCCATCTGCTCCAAGGCGGCCACCACGGCGTGGAAATAGTGCTCCAGGGTGCGGCGAGGGCTGGCCTGTTGGGGAGGGGCGTCAGAGCCTGGGTCTTGGCCCAGCGCCCACGCACCCCAGCTCCTAAGCCAAGTCCGCAGGGCCCTGGCAGCCCAAGGTGACACCTCTCCGCTGCCCCTGGGGGCCCGGCAGGAGCTTCCCCCGAAGGCTTCTGGATCCCACATCCAGGGCCCTATGCCTGCCCTGCAAGTGGGGGTTCCCCTCTGCCCCTCACACGCTATTATGGGGAGACTACTGGTCTGCAATGTCTGTTACCCAGAGAGGCAGAGATAGCCACTGACGCCCACTTCCTGAAAGCGTCACCCAGCACTTGGATCAATGTTCTAGCCCCCACTAGATTGTGAATTCCAGGAATTCACAGGGAATTTTGTCTGTTTCATTCATAGCTGCATCTCCAGCACTTAGAATAGCTCACTGCACCAGGTGTTGTTCTAGGGGCTGGGATACAGCAGCAAACAAAAGAGATTGTGTGATCTGGGAAGCCCCCCCTGAGAAAGTGACTTTTTTTTTTTTTTTTTTGAGACGGAGTCTTGCTCTGTCACCCAGGCTGGAGTGCAGTGGTGTGACTTTGGCTCATTGCAACCTCTGCCTCCTGGGTTCAAGCGATTCTCCTGCCTCAGCCTCCCGAGTATCTGGGACTACAGGTGCGCACCACCACATCCAGCCAATTTTTGTATTTTTAGTAGAGACGGGGTTTCACCATGTTGGCCAGGACGGTCTCGATCTCCTGACCTCATGATCTGCCTGCCTTGGCCTCCCAAAGTGTTGGGATTACAGGCGTGAACCACCGCGCTTGGCCGAAAGTGACTTTTAGGTAAAGACTTGAAGTGAAAGAGTGAGCCATGCAGCCCAGCGCGGTGGCTCACGCTTGTAATCTCAGCACTTTGGAAGGCCGGGGTAGGTGGATCACGAGGTCAGGAGATGGAGACCACGGTGAAACCCCGTCTCTACTAAAAATAGAAAAAATTAGCTGGGTGTGGTGGCCGGCGCCTGTAGTCCCAGCTACTCAGAGAGGCTGAGGCAGGAGAATGGCGTGAACCCAGGAGGCGGAGCTTGCAGTGAGCCGAGATCACGCCACTGCACTCCAGCCTGGGCAACAGAGCAAGACTTCGTCTCAAAAAAAAAAAAAAAAAAAAAAGAGTGAGTCGTGCAGGTATCTAAGAGAACGTTCCAAGCATAGGGAGTAGCCAGCGCAAAGGCCCTGGGGTGCAAGTATGTTAGGCATGTGCATGTTGGGAGACAAATGAGGAGGCTTGTTTAGCTGGAGCAGAGGAAATGAGAGGGAAAGTTAGGAGACAGGCCAGAGAGGAAATGAAGAGAGATGGGAACAGGTCAAGGCCCTCAAGATGAGGTTCTTGTATTTTTATTTTTAGAGATGGGGTGTCTCTCTGTTACCCAGGCTAGAGTGCAGTGGTACAGTCACAGCTCACTGCAGCCTTGAACTTGGCTCAAGTGATCCTCTTGTCTTCCGAGTAGCTGGGACTGCAAACACATGTCACTGCGTCTGGTATTTTTTTTTTTTTATTACTTTTTGTAGAAATGGGGTCTTGCTATGTTGCCCAGGCTGGTCTCAAACCCCTGGCCTTAAGCAATCCTCCTGCCTCGGCCTCTCAAGTACCTGCAATTATAGGCATGAACCACCACACCAGGCTCTTATAGGTCATTGCAATCACTTTGGCTTTGACTCCGAGTGAGATGATGTAGTAGCTACTGTTGTGGTGACCCAGATTCCTGCTTTCGGGGCTGAGACACTCATTCACCCTGCTGCTAGGAATACTGGCATTATCTTATATCTTATTATTGGTTTTTTTTTTGGAAATGGAGTCTCTCTCTGTCACCCAGGCTGGAGTGCAGTGGCACAATCTTGGCTCACTGCAACCTCCACTTTCCGGGTTCAAGCTATTCTCCTGCCTCAGCCTCCAGAGTAGCTAGGATTACAGGTGCCCGCCACCACGGCCAGTTAGTTTTTGTATCTTTAGTAGAGACTGGATTTCGCCATGTTGGCCAGGCTGGTCTTGAACTCCTGACCTCAGGTGATACACCCGCCTCAGCCTCCCAAAGTGCTGGGGTTATAGGTGTGAGCCACTGCGCCCAGCCAAAATGTATTAATTTTTGATTTGGGGGAAAAGGTGATGCGAAACAGGAGAAGGAGGAAGAGCAGGGTGAATGACTGGTATGGGCATGCAGGGACGAGGGCTGGGACTGACAAGGGGCTGCAGGCAGGGCCATTACCTGCAGCTTCCTGTGCAGAGCGCCTGCGTGACAGGCCTCCCCCAGAGCCGCCTGCAGGGCGTGGGAGACCACGTGGCGCATGCAGGTCTCTGGTGTCTGCTGCGCCTGGGCCGCCTCGATCTCCAGTAGCAGAGCACTGCACACAGACGCAGACACCAGCTCAGGATCCACGAAGAGGAACACTCTGAGGGCAGAAGCAGAGGGGAGAGGTGGGATTGATAGTAACTAATGGGAGAGGGGCCACCGGATGGGCACCCTCAGAGCTGTGCAGCACCTCCAAGTAATTTAATTCTGCTAAAAAGAGGAGTCTCAGATTCAAAAGTCTCTGGGTGGGATGACAATAGGGAGTGGTGAGGACTGTGGCAAATAAGAGCATGCACAGCCCTTCTAGAGGGGCAGCTCTAATCCACTGTCCACAGAGGAAAGCAGGCCTAGTCCCATGTTTAGGAAAGTTCCAGCCTCAATCCTGCTCCCTCTCTCAGCATCCTGGCCCAGGGACCAGGTCACCCTCTAGGAGGGACCCTAAATCCTTCCTGCCAGAACTGGAGTTCTGAACTCTGAGTGAATCTCACCTTCTTTCATCACTCTTATCACACCAGAGAGCCAACCTCCCCTACTCCCTCCTCCTCACCCACTGTGTCTCCCCACCTCTCCCATGGGTGCCCTGGGCCTCCTTGCATCTTTCATGAACTCAGCACCTCACACCCCAAACTCAAGCTGTGCCTTTCAGGGCCAAGTTAGTGGAGGTGCCTGCAGAAGAGGGAGGTGCCGCTCCCAACTTCATCACCCCTCTCCCCAACACGAGCAGGGGACACTTCCTCAGTCTTATCTAAGAGGCTTGGCGTCCCCCATGGAAGCCCTCTGGCTTCATTGTGCACTTGCGCCTGAGCCCCTCCGCTATGGCTATTCTGGAGTCTCCTCTGGCTGCCTGGCTGGTATGATGCTGCATTATGGCCAAGGGCAGGATGGAGGTGGAATGACAGAGCCCCAGAGTGGCCCCGAGGCCATGTCCACCTTCTGCATGTGAGCAGGGTAGCTTCCAATCCAACCTGAGAAGAAAGACCTATCCTGTGTTCAGTGGTCTCCAGAAAACAATATGGCGCCAACCTTGAATGGCAAACGCACCCCACTGCTGGACAAATATCATGGCTGGGGAGGTCTGCTAGGGCTCTTCTTAATCCAGCCTCCTCTTTTGTCCTCCTGCCAGGGAGCAGTCACTAAAGCCACAACAGTTTTAGGAGGCTGAAGGTAGCAATTTTTCTGGGGCCACTCACCTCTCCTGGTAGGGATACAGCTCATTCGTCAAGTTCTGTTCGGCAATGACCATCCTTTGGTACAGTGTCCCTGCAAACCAGACCACTTTGGCCAAACAGCCCCCAAGTCTCTGACTCCCATTCTCCACCTTCCTACAGAAGGTGTGGAGGCTTTTGAGCTCCCCGGTATCCTGGAGAAAAAGGAAAGACCCTGGGCAATGTTGGAGGTGCAGCGTGGGAGACAAAGATGCCCAGTGACTCTTACCTGGGACAGCCATCTCCGTTTTCAGCCTTATCGCGCAGTCCAAGGCGACTGTGCAGTAGGGGGTGGGCAGGGTCAGTAACCTTGTGCAAAAGGCATAGATTCTCTGGTAGAGCTCTTCTGTGATTCCTGTGGCCTGGGTGAGAGGGAGGAGGGGGAGGTGAGAGGGAGGAGGTGGAGGTAAGAGGGAGGAGGGGGAGGTGAAGGGTCCCGGGGGAGTTTCCGGGGAGGGGCTTGGGAGAAGAGGTGGAAGGTCAGGCCTAACAGCCAGACCTGGGCTCACAGCTCTCTCCCAAACCCACACCTTCCAGCCTCTTCTCCCAGCACCTGTAAGACATCCATTTGTCGCCCCGCCCCAACTTACCAAGATAAAAATTCATTGCATCAAGTTATGCAAGCAAATCAACTTCCTCCCAGCCCTCCTGCTCCATCAGGGAAGCACATTCCTGCGGTTCTCCAGGCTCAAAACCATGGAGGCACTTCCTCAGTCTCCTTTGCTCCTCCTTGCATCCCACAGGCCTGAAATGCTCCACAGTGCCCGGGAGGCCCCCCTCTCCCTCCCGACCTCAGTGTGCCCTCCGTCTCTGCCGGAGCTAAGCCCCATCTTGACCCTGGACTCTCCAGCAACCCCAGACTTGGTCTTCCTGCCTGCCTTAACCACCACTCCCACCCGCTGCAACAACACGCAGCTCCCGATTACTCCTCCTGAGACATTAACCACATGAGTATCATGTCTCTTCTCTGTGTAGGGATCAGTGATGTCTCCTGTTGCACTGCACACAGGAGCAAACCCAAAGACCTCATCCTGCCTTTCAAGGCCATTGTCTCTCCAGAGTTCTCTCTCCATATGGGAGGGAAAGGGGGTGGCTAGTGCTCAGAAGCCAGTTTAGGGCAGGCAATCCAAGGGATTTTCTAGGCTCATCCTGGCGGAGACTGAGTGCCCACTAAGGGGAGAGTGTCCAGCCCAGCCACATGCAGGTCACCACTACCACCTCGACCTCAGTCCCCAGCTCACCTTGGTGAGCACGTACATTACAGTGTGCAGCAAGGGAATGATGACATGCCGGAGGTCCTGGCTTTCCGCCTGGAAAACAGGAGATCACGTGACAGGTATTGGGCTGGGGGAATCCCCACTTCATAGCGGGAGGCAGTCTAGGCTGGGAGTGGGCAGGAGATGGGGTGGAAGGCAGCCAGGGGGAGAGCAAAGGGCCATTGTCTGCTCTGGATAGAGGAGTGGGGAGGGGAGGGCACACAGGTGAGGAAGCCCCTCAGTGAGGGTGTGGGAGCGTGGGGGGGCCTCAGAGAACTCTGCAGGTGAGGGGCCAAATTTAATTAGGGTAGGAGTCGCAGCAAAGCAACAAACAAGTCCTCAGCTCGGAGCCTCCCTTGAGTGCAGTGTTTCCCAAACGGTTGCAAAGTACAACATTGGGTAGTGTGAAGGAGAATTTAGGTGGCCCGAGGATAATTTTGAGAAACGTCAATAGTCGTATATTTATGTTTATAGGTACCTTCTGTTTCTGACAAGTGATGCGGGTTTTCCATTTGTGGTCGCGTTATAGTGCTTCTTTTTGAAAGATGTTTATTCAAGTAAAACAATGAGAGTCGACGTAAAGAAAATACTGCTTACGTAAAAGTACAGGAGGGAGATGCATATGGTAAAAATCATGCAGGCAACCAAAGCTTATGAGATATAGCGCTGCCAGGACTGAGCCCCTGCCCAATTGGCCCCTCTCTTCCTTTCATCCCCGTCTTCCTCCCTGAGGTCCAGGAACTCACCTTCTCCAGTTCTCTGAGAAGAATGCGGACCAGCACTGGGCTCTTACCGGGATCTCGCTCGACCTTCTTGTGCAGGGACCACCTCCACATGCCTGGGCCAGGAGAAAGGGGAGCCCGGCATGAGCAGGTGGGCAGTTCTTAGAGGAGACCCCTCTGAGCAGGACCCTGAGCCCTGGAGCCTCAGCTGCAGCTCTGACCAGCCACGGGTGTGACCCCGCCACCAGCGCTTGGCTCCAGGTGCACCTGGGTGGGCTCCTCCCAAGTGGGGAGTTCTAGTCTGTAGCCCTTTGTGGACAGTGAATTCCCAGGGCAGAAAGGAGGGCAGGTGGGACACACCAGTGGGGACAGGTGTGTGACAGGTGTATGCGTGTGGACCACAGAGCAGCAGTGCTTGCAGGTGTGTGCTCCGAGCCACATTCTGGAAGTCCTGCAGGCCTGGAGTGCTGAGGGGAATTAGGTTTGGAAGTGGAGCTAGGGAAGGTGGTTAACAAAGAGGGTGGCAGGCCGGGTGCCGTGGCTCATGCCTGCAATCCCAGCACTTTGGGAGGCTGAGACAGGCGGGTCACTTGCGGTCAGGAGTTCGAGACCAACCTGGCCAACATGGTGAAACTGCATCTCTACGAAAAATACAAAAATTAGCAGGGCATGGTGGCACACGCCTGTAATCTCAGCTACTTGGGAGGCTGAGGCAGGAGGATCGCTTGAACCAGGGAGGCAGAGGTTGTGGTGAGCCGAGTTTGCACCACTGCACTGCAGCCTGGGTGACAGAGTAGGACTCCATCTCAAAAACAAAAGAAAAAAAAAAGGAAAGAAAAAGGGTGGCAGATCCCCAATGTGCTCTGTGGCAGTTGCTGGGAGGGTTGAACTAGGGAGCAGAGAAGCCTTCTCAGTCCTTCAGGCTCTAGGTATTTCCAGCAGGAAAGGGGTTTGGTGAGACGACCCTTGCCCCCTGAGCTCCAGGCCGGGGCTCTTTCCTGTATGCGCGTGTATTGTTGGCTGGGGTTGGGTGGAGGTCAGAGGGACCAGCTGCTGCTGCCAGCTGGCTCTTACCTTGGTTGCTCTGCAGGGCAGGGGCCTGGGTGCTGAGCTCCCGGAGCACAGCCTGCACGCTCCTCTGGAGGTCCAGCTCCACATCTGGGCAGTGGTAGGGGTGGGAGGAAACTCAGTCCACTGAACCTCACCCTCGTCCCACCTCCATTCCTTCCGAGAGTGTCTTTAGCCATTTCTCTGAGCCTCAGGAGGTGCCCGAAGTAATCGACTTAGAGCTGGCAGCCAGCATGCCAGCCAGGGCTGGAATATAGCCTTCCCTTCCACGTTTCTGTGTTCTTTGTAAAACCTGCATTTCCCAAAGTGCAGTATGTGTACCACTGGTGGTATGTAGGACAATTTTAGGTGGTACACAAACGACCTTAAAATCTGAATAGTTATGCATTTATTTTAATGCATGTTAGAAAATACATGTATGTATTTTCATATATATGTGAAATGTATATATCCTCCAAACATATATATGAAATATATATATCCTCCAAATATGTATATGAAATATATAGCCTCCAAATATATATGAAATATATATAGCCTCCAAATATATATATGAAATATAGCCTCCAAATATATATATGAAATATATATAGCCTCCAAATATATATATGAAATATATACAGCCTACAAATATATATATGAAATATATACAGCCTACAAATATGTATATGAAATATATACAGCCTACAAATATGTATATGAAATATATATAGCCTCCAAATATGTATATGAAATATATATAGCCTCCAAATATGTATATGAAATATATATAGCCTCCAAATATGTATATGAAATATATATAGCCTCCAAATATGTATATGAAATATATATAGCCTCCAAATATATATATATGAAATATATATAGCCTCCAAATATATATATGAAATATATATAGCCTCCAAATATATATGAAATATATATATGGCCTCCAAATATGTATATCAAGTATATATACAGTCTCCAAATACGTATATGAAGTATATATCCTCCAAATATGTATATGAAATGTATATCCTCCAAATATATATGAAATATATATATCCTCCAAATATATATGAAATATATATATATAAAATATATATATAAAAAACTATTAGGTTTGTGCAAAAGTAATTGCAGTTTTTGCCATTATTATTATTATTTTTGTGTGTGTGTGTGTGTGTGAGACGGAGTCTAACTCTGTCATCCAGGCTGGAGTGCAGTGGCGCAATCTTGGCTCACTGCAATCTCCGCCTCCTGGGTTCACGCCATTCTCCTGCCTCAGCCTCCCGAGTAGCTGGGACTACAGGCGCCTGCCACCACGCCTGGCTAATTTTTTGTATTTTTAGCAGAGACGGGATTTCACCGTGTTAGCTAGGATGGTCTCAATCTCCTGACCTCGTGATCTGCCCGCCTCGGCCTTCCAAAGTGCTGGGATGACAGGCATGAGCCACCACGCCAAGCCTTTGCCATTATTTTTAGTAGTTCCTGAATCCATGCATGAAGCTAAAACTTATTTATTTTATTTATTTATTTTTTTGAAGCCTACAGCACCCTGTCTTTTCTGGTAGTCTCCACCCCCCGCCCCAAGTATAAAGCTAAAATCTAAAGTCAATTTAAAGAATCGTATCAGATACATACCAGGACAGGTGGTAACAAAGACTCTCTCCTTGACCAAACCTTACTCAGCCTCCTCTTAGCCCTCTTCTTCACTAGGGCTCAGCCCTGGCTCCTGTCCTGCCTTTGGCCTGCCCATCCCAGTTTTAGCAAGAATCCTGCCAAATCAGTTTAGGTTGGAGTCCTCCACTCTTGATATCTCCTGAACCCCTTCATCCCTTACCGTCGATGTATAAGAATTTGACTTGTGCCTCTAGCAAAAATCCTGTTAGCTCAGTTTAGCAAGAATGTCCCGACCCTTGATGTCTCCTCTTAGGAATTTTCCATCCGCTGACCCCTTCACTCTGCTCATTGGCTATAAATCCCCAACTGGCTTTTCTTTATTCCAAGTTGAGACTGCTTTCTCTTTCCTAATGCAATAGTCTTGGATAAGTCTTCCTTACCATTTAATAAGTTCCAGAATAATTTCTTTCTTTAACAGTGGTACGTTGACATGGGAAAAAAAAAAAACCATGAAAGTGGTACAAGAATAAGCAACTGACATTTGGGAAGTGTGGTAGCTGTGAGAATGTACCTCGCTCCTCTCCCACTACCGGGAGTTTAATGGAACCAGGTCCCCAGTTGCTGTGCTGTTGCAGTGGTTTGGATATTTGACCCTCCAAATCTCATATTGAAATTTGTTCCCCAGTGTTGGACGTGGGGCCTAATGGGAGGTGTTAGGGTCATGGTGGTGGATGCTTCATGAATGCCATCCTTGCGGTAATGAGTGAGTTCTCATTCTATTTGTTCCCCTGAGAACTGGTTGTTAAAAAGAGCCCGGCACCTTCCCCCTCTCTCTTGCTTCATCTCTCAGCATGTGATCTGTACACACTGGCTCCCCTTCCACCAGGAGTGGAAGTTTCCTGAGCCCTGAGCCCCTTATCAGAAGCAGATGCTGGCACCCTGCTTCTTGTACAGCCTGCAGAACGCTGAGCCAAATAAACCTCTTTTCTTTATAAATTACCCAGCTGCAGGTATTCCTTTATATTATAGCAATGCAAACAGACTAAGACAGCTGTGAAATCCATCACTTTCTGCTGAGCCACGCCTCCCAGCCAAAATACACGGTATGGTAGTGGTTCTAAAGCAGGACCTTCCCCAGGAGACGCTCAAGCTTCTCCAACTGCCCTGCTGAGCTTTTCTTGGACTCCCATCAGTCCAAGGCATTTCCACTGACCCTTCTTCCTTTTCTCCTTCATTTGGAGTCAGATTTGCACCAGGGTCTGACAGCTGCTCTCCCAGGTCCCTCTCCATTTCTGTCACACAAGTGTTTCCCCAAATAAATCCTTGAACTTGGTGTCTGCTTCTTGGCAGATCCAGACTCAGACAAGAAGTACGGGAAACACTCCTCACACAATAAATTCCTCTTTGCAATTAGCTCCCACCAAGAGTTTGCCATTATAGGTGAGTGTGTATTCTCCAGTTGTCAGACAACACAAACCACATGCCCCAAGGGTTCCTCTTTGACTGGGCTATCAGGAAACTTACGGTCAAATTGGGGCCCAGCCTCAAAAATTAGCTCATCTCATGTGACAGGGATCTCTCTTCTTGGCTCCTTTTTGGTCCTCCTGCTTTATATTCTATTTAATCTATATCTGAATTGCTTCAGATTCCTTTGGAAGTAAGTAGAATAGAGATAACAAATTTAAAAATCAGCAGATTGCAGTCCAAGAGTTAAAATATTTTTAGGCCAAGTCACCATAGGTGCTAGTGCTCATGGTCTGGCCCCTCCTCAGACCCATGCAAAGCCTACGGGGTCCACATCCCTGAAGCCCCCACTTGGCAAGGCCTGGTCCTGAATCTCCTCCAGGCTGAGAGTGGACAGGATACTACAGCCACATCTGCCCACCTGGTCCCTCTGCTGGGCAGAGCATCATCTCCCCAGACTGTTGAGGAAATCATTTAGCTCAGCATGAAGGTTGGTCACAGTCTTTCCTCCGTCTATGCATTTCCACCTTGCATGAAGATTTAATGAGTTAATGCAGGATGAGTTATTAGAAAATTAGCTGGTGCTAAGTCTTTTTTCTCTCTCCTCCCTCCTTCTCTCTCTCCCTCCCTTCCTTCCTTTCTTTTTTCCTTCCTTCTTCCTCTTTCTTATTCTGTCTTCCATTGTATATTTGCAAAGAAAGGCTGAAAACTGTGACAAATGTGATTTCCTCTCATTCCCCTCATCAGAAGCACAGCCAAGCCTTTGTCTTCTGAGCTTGGGTCCCCTTGCTTTGCAAGGGAAGTTGAATTTTTATGTTTCACAGAAAAATAGAGAAGTTGCCAGTAGCCCTGGGAGACCACTTCAAATAAATTTTGTTTTTGAATGTCTGGGTAGCTAAAACAAACTCTCAGGCTTTGGTCCACATCTGGCTTGCTATGTGTTTTGTTTGGGCTTGTATAGTGTCTTAAAAAAAAAAAGCAATGAATTAGCTGCCAACATTTACAAGTCAGGAGATTTTGCATAACGTTTGGGTTTCTGGCATCTCTCGAAAATCTGACAATCTGCTGACACCGAACCTGGATTCTTCTCACATGTGACAATCATAGGGGGTGGGGAGCAATTGCCCCCTTAGATAGGCACAGCTTCTCTAGGTCTTTGTAGTTCCCCATGCCTCGGTTTCACTCATTTATATCCTCTGCCTGGCCCCTGGAGGCACTGAGTCTGAGGCTCCTGGCAAGTTGATTGAGCCAATCAAGCTGGATTGTCTAAAAAGGTGCAGAAGAAGGTTGATGCTTTTAAAGAGGAGAGTGGCCCAGCCCAAGGGTGGAGGTTGGATTCCCTAAGACTGTGAACGCACAAGGGATATAGGGTTCCAGGGAATGAGGAAAATCAGACCGGCTGGGACAAAGCTTACCAGTGGCGGCAAAGGTCAGATGAAGGCCGCTAAGCACTGAGCCCTGTGCCTCTGATGCCACAGCAAAGGTCTCCTGAGCCATCTTCACCAGAGCACGAGAATGTCCCTCAAGGCAGGCTCTATCTCCCTCTGCACCTTGCAAGTCTGGCCAAGCAGTTCTGGTGGCTGTAGCCACCGTGGACTGGAGACGACAGACTTTTCCCACTACCCAGACTTTATAAACCCTGAGCTTCTCACAAACTCCCACGTAGGGGGAAGCACTCCAAGTGAATGATGCTAGAGTTCATCCTAACCTTGGAATATGAGAGGTTGAAGCTGGTTTTGATTTGATTAAATGGAAGAAAGAAATGGGATATTTCCTGTGACTCAAGTGGCTCAGCATTGTTCACATATGGTATGCAGGTCTAACATCCTTGATGACTCGAATAGTCAATAGATAAATGGCATCCATTATTATTATCCTCCTCTGCATCCAGGAATGTGGGATATTACTAATTAGGTATTAATATTATTATTAATATTAAACTTTTTTTATTTAAAATTTTTTTAACTTTTATTTTAGGTTCAGGAGGTACATGTGCAGGTTTGTTACCCGGATATATTGCTTGATGCTGAGGTTTGTAGTATGGATGATCACATCACCTAGGTACTATGAGTACTGTTACTAATAATAGTACTACTCATATGAGTAGTACTAGTACCCACACTAACTAGTTTTTCAACTCTTGCCCCTTTCCCTCCCTCCCCATTCTAGTAGCCCCCAGTTTCTATTGTTGCCATCTTTGTGTCCATGAGTACCCAAAGTTTAGCTCCCACCTATAAGTGAGAACATGCAGTATTTGGCTTTCTGTTCCTACATTAATTTGCTTAGTGTAATAGCTTCCAGCTCCATCCATATTGCAACGAAGGATATGATTTCGTTCTTTTTTATGGCTGCATAGTATTCCATGTTGTATATGTAACACATTTTCTTTATCCAGTCTGTTGTTGACAGGCACCTAAGTAGATGCCACATTTTTGCTTTTGTGAATAGTGCTGCAATGAACGTGCAAGTGCATGGGTCTTTTTGATAGAATGATTTGTTTTTGGGGGGATATATACCCAGTAGTGGGATTGCTGGGTCGAATGGTAGCTCTGTTTTAAGTTCTTTGTGAAATCTCCAAACTGCTTTCCACAGTGGCTGAACTAGTTTACATTCTCACCAACAGTGTATAAGCATTCCCTTTACTCCACAGCCTTGCCAGCATCTGTTGTTTTTTGACTTTTTACTAGTAGCCATTCTGACTGGTGTGAGATGGTTTTGATTTGCATGTCTCTGATAATTAGTAACGTAGAGCATTTTTCCATATTTGTTGGCTGCTTGTATGTCTTCTTTTGAGAAGTGTCTGTTCATGTCTTTTACCCATTTTTTAAGTGGGGTTATTTGTTTTTTGCTTAATCAGTTGTGTAAATTCCTTATATATTCTGGATATTAGACCTCTGTTGGAATGCATACTTTGTGAATATTTTCTCCCATTCTGTAGGTTGTCTGTTTACTCTGTTGATAATTTATTTTGCTGTGCAAAAGCTCTTTAGTGTAGGCCAGGCACGGTGGCTCATGCCTGTAATCCCAGCACTTTGGGAGGCAGAGGGGGGCAGATCACTTGAGGCCAGGAGTTCGAGACTAGCCTGGCTAACACGGCAAAATCCTGTCTCTACTAAAAATACAAAAATTAGCTAGGCGTAATGATGATCCCAGCTACACAGGAAGCTGAGGCACGAGAATCGCTTAAACCTGGGGGGTGGAGATTGCAGTGAGCTGAGATTACGCCACTGCACTCCAGCCTGGGCAACAGAGCGAGACTATGTCTCAAAAAATCAAAACAAAACAAAAAGAAGCTTTTTAGTGTAATTAGGTCTCAATTGTCGATTTTTGTTTTTGTTGCAATTGCTTTTGAGGACTTAGTCATAAATTCTTTCAAAAGATTGATGTCTAGAATGGTGTTGCCTAGGATTCATATAGTTTGAGGTCTTACATTTAAATCTTTCATCTATCTTGAGTTAATTTTTGTATATGGGGAAGGGTAGTGGTTCAGTTTCATTCTTCTGCATATGGCTAGCCAGTTATCCCAGTACCATTTATTGAATAGAAAGTCCTTTCCCCATTGCTTATGTTTGTCAACTTTGTCAAAGATCAGGTGGCTGTAGGTATGTAGCTTTATTTCTGGATTCTCTATTGTGTTCCATTGTTTATATGTCTATTTTTATACTAGTACCATGCTGTTTTTGTTACTGTAGCCTTGTAGTAGAGTCTGAAGTTAGGTAATGTGATGCCTCCAGCTTGGTTCTTTTTACTTAGGATTGCTTTGGCTATTTGGGCCCTTTTTTGGTTCCATATAAATTTTAGAATAGTTTTTTTCTAGTTCTGTGAAAAATGACATTGGTAGTTTGATAGGAATAGTGTTGAATCTGCAGATTGCTTTGGGCGGTATGGACATTTTAACAATATTGATTCTTCCAATCCGTGACCATTGGAATAGTTTTCCATTTGTTTGTGTCATCTATAATTTCTTTTTAGCAGTGCTTTGTACTTCTGCTTGTAAAGATCTTTCACCTCCTTGGATATCTGACATTTAAACAGCACTTGAAAGGCATACACACAGAGAATCTTCCATAGGTATGGTAAGGTGATGCTATGTGCTCACCAGACCAAGTTCATTTTTGTCACCAAGAGACAGCAAGACTACATTTCCCAAACTCCCCTGCAGTTAGATAATAGCCATGTGACTGCATTCTGGCCAATGGAATGTGGTGGAAGTGATTAAGTCCCTTGTAGGCCTGTGTTCCCTGCACTGTCCTCCATACTCCTCTTCCCTTTCCACAAGAGGGAATAAGTCTCATTGCCTGCTTGAAGCCCAAATTGGACTGTGGTGAGAGTGAGAATAAGCATGTGTTGTCTTAATCCTCTGACATTTGGGGCCATTTGCTAAAGCAGCTACTATTCTCTGACTGACTCATGGATATGTAAAGTGTTTTCCAGTGTCTTATCTCACTTGATTCTGACAAGCACCCTGTGAGTTTGGCAGGACAAATACTGTTCTCCCTGTTTGATAGATTCCAGGTCTAGAGCCCTTACCTTTGTCACATATTGCCTCTCCAACCACAGAAAGTCACACCTAGAGGGCCCCCAGTACCCAGATGCACCTCCTCCAGCCTACACCTGATCCTCCTTACCCCTATGCAGTATAAAGGCTCAGATTGTTTGGAAAACCTTTGCAATCTTACTCCTGTTTGCAGGCATGGCAAAATAACAATAGCCTTAGTGCCTCTGAAATATTGCTCTTTTGCATACCCTGAAATAAATATTTTACTTCTCAGGTACCCCTCTTCTTAACTGTAGGATGGGAGGACTCCAAGAGCTGTGGGAAGGTGGAGAGTGTTAAAAACAATCACAGGCCAGGTACAGTGGCTCACGCCTGTAATCCCAGCACTTTGGGAGGCCGAGGCAGGTGTATCACCTGAGGTCAGGAGTTCGAGACCAGCCTGGGCAACACGGTGAAACCCCGTCTCTACTAAAAATACAAAAAAAATAGCCGGACATGGTGGTGCATGCCTGTAATCCCAGCTACTTGGGAGGTTGAGGCTGGAGAATCGCTTGAACCTGGGAGGTGGAAGTTGCAGTCAGCCGAGATGGTGTCATTGCACTCCAGCCTGGGTGGCAGAGAGAGACTCTGTCTCAAAAAAAAAAAAAATCATAATGTGGAAAGACAACTGCAGTCCTGGTCATCCTGATTTGGGGATGTTTCCTTTTATCCACTGGATCTGGGAATCATCTGCCACACCTTTGGAGGGGGAAGTCAGTGGTTTCACCTGCCCAGCATCCCTCCCTGCTTATTGCAGTCTTGGTGGGACTGTGACCCAGGTGCCTACTTAGCTTCAGCCTTGGTGTGGGCACAGGACCAAGCTGCCCAAGGACTGATACTCTCTGTCTCTGTCTCTCTCAGACAGCCTTTTTCAGAGAATGGCCAGGAGGGAAGGACGCCTGGTGTGCTCTCCAAGGACACTGTCTATCTCTCTCCGTCCTTTTGGCAGGGCTACCCTTCCCCTGCCCTTTCTGGTGTCTGGTGCTTCAGCTTTTCCTTTGATGCTTGGCCACATTTTTAAAAAATGAAATTGGCCACATCAGTTTCTATTGCTTATATATAATAAACCTTTATTGGTGCACCTCTTTTCCTAAAAGACAGCATGGCATGTATTTATTGTTATAAAGTGAGTGCAAAGTAAGTTGGTTTTGAAATACCTTGATGTGTCACTTAACTACGGCGATATGTTCCGAGAAATATGTCACGGGGCAATTTCATCATTGTATGAATATCACAGAGTGCACTTACACAAACCTACACAGCATAGCCTACTACACACCTAGGCTACAAACCTACACAGCGTGTGACTGCACTGAGTACTGTAGGCAGTTGTCACACAATGGTATCTGTGTGTCTAAACATATCTAAACATAGAAAAGGTACAGTAAAAATATGGTACTCTCTTATGGGACCGCTGCTGTTTATAAGGCTCGTCGTTGACCAAAACATTGCCAATATGCAGTGCCTGACTGTATTTAGGAGATTTTCACAGAGCTTCCCCATTCCGAGCCTCCCACCCCAAACCCCAGCTGGTTACAGATGACCCAGAATATTGTAACACCAGGATTCACTGGGGTTGCCTGACTCCATGGAGCTACTTCTGATTGGACGAGGCTCTCTGAGGATGGATGGATGGTTGGATGGATGGATGTCAAAAGAATTTATGCCATAGGAATATTAGCAACCGAGCAGCTGACCCTGCCTAGGGGATGCCCTTCCCTTCCCCAGGAGATGGATCTTTAGGGGAATTAGAGTCTCAGCGTGGTGGCCTAAGGTGTGATCTTTGACTTTCCGGGTGACCAATAGATGACACACATCTTGGTGGGGGTTGGTCATCTTTCCCTGTTGTCCCAAGTTGACTTAGGGTAAGAGTCCAGGCTTTGAAAATCAGCCGGACTAGGCCCCACTTTCTGGCTTTGCCACTTACTAGCTGTGTGGCTTTGAGCAAATTATATAACCTCTCCAAGCCTCAGTTTACCTCTCAGAAAAATGAGGATAATCATCGTGCTAGCCCCACCTCACAGAATCCTTCTGGCATTTTTGCGAAGCAATCCATACTGAAATCATTAAGCCTAGACACTGGAGCTAGACTATTGGGTTCCACTCCTGATTTGACCACTCAATAGCTATGTGACTGGGGGAAAAGTACCTGCCCCTGGCATGCCTCCATTTCCCCTCCTGTAAAACGAGAGTAATAATACCTGTCTTAGGAGGTTAACCAAGACTAAATGAGTTCATATTTGTCAAGTGCTTTTATCCCTCCTCAATCCATTGTAAGTGCTATATAGGTTTTTGTTAAATAGTCACAAGTATTTGGCAATCAATCTTGGCTATTCTTGTCATTATTCCCATTGTCAAGCTCAGTGTCCAGCGAGCAGTTGGAGCCTTGTGCAAGTGTGTAGATGTCCAACTCTCAAGATGTTCTTACATTTAGGCAGGATCCCTGAATTGGGGTCTTGCAGCCTGTCTATGTGCAGGGGGTCCTGCCAGCCCTAGAGGCATCCTCACCCATGAGAAGGGCCTTCCCCACTCGGCAGCAGGCTCACTAGACCCCTTTCCCCCCACCACACTGACCTGAGCTCTCCATGGGAGCCTTTGGGTGTAGGAGGAGGAGGATGTGGTTGTCTCGGGCAGCAGAATAGAGAACAAGGTGGTTGCTTTTCTGCACAGAGGTGGTTCTGCAAAATAAGAGGTAGTTAATTAGTGGAAGCAGTGGGAAGGTGCAGAAAGCACCTTGGGAAATGGAGAAGCTCCTAAGGGACCTAGGCTTCTAGCACACTGGGGGGAAGTCTAGATGTATTTAAGAAAACTTATGACTGGGTGCAGTGGCTCATGCCTGTAATCCCAGCACGTTGGGAGGCCAAGGCGGGTGGATCACTTGAGGTCAGGAGTTCGAGACCAGCCCAACAAACATGGTGAAACCCCGTCTCTACTAAAAATACAAAAAATTAGCTGGGCATGGTGGCAGGTGCCTGTAATTCCAGCTACTCAGGAGGCTGAGGCAGGAGAATCGCCTGAACCTGGGAGGCGGATGTTGCAGTGAGCTGAGATGGTGCCATTGCACTCCAGCCTGGGCAAGGGTGAGACTGGCTCAAAAAAAAAAAAAAAAGAAAGAAAAAAGAGAAAACTTATATAGTGCTTACTATGTGCCAGGCATCACTCTTCTAAGCACTTAAGAAATGCCAACTTTTTAATATTAATATTAAGCTTATGAGGCAGGTTCTATCTCTCCCCCCTCCCCAGTTCTGCAGATGGGGAAACTGAAACACAGAGAGGGTAAATAGCTATTCAAAGTTAAATAGCTAGTAAGCAAGGAATGAGGACTTGGAACTCAGACCGTCTGGCTCTAGAGCCCTCCCTTAAGCATGACCTCTGTCTGCTCCACTGTGACCCCAGTGGGAGGTCCTCCCAGAGTCTGCTCCCCAGAGCGATAAACCCAATGACTAGAACGCAGAGGAACTCCAAATAAACCTAAGAGATTGTTTTTGGAGAGAAAACAAGCGAACAAACAAACAAACGTATAACTGGGAAAGCTAATCTAAAAAGAGATAACGAAGAGACAATATTAGAAATGATAAATGTCATATATATATTTCTTTATACCAAAAAAGAAAATCTGAGTCCCCTGTGTCGCACATGGTTTTCTAGGACAATAAAAATGACTCAAAAGGCTCTAGAAGAGTTAGAAAAACTGCTTATATTTGTAACCAGTGAGGAAATAGAGACAGTTGTCAAAGAACTAGCTCTAAGAGAGTGGTGTCTGGCTCAGATAGTTCTTCTGATAAGTTTTTTCAAACCTACAAAGAAAATATCTACGTTATTTAATCTGCTCCAAAGCATGGAGAAAGAAGAGAAGATTCTCAGTTTATTGGACAAGGCCAGCTTCACCTTGATACCAAAATCTAATAAAGGTAGTTAAAAAAAAAATGGATCACGCACTTCACACCCATTGGAATGACCATTTTAGATATACAGAAAAAAAAAACAAAAACAAAAAAACAAAAAACCGGCCGGGCACGATGGTTCACTCCTGTAATCCCAGCATTTTGGGAGGCCGAGGCGGGCAGATCACGAGGTCAGGAGATGGAGATCATCCTGGCTAACATGGTGAAACCCTGTCTCTACTAAAAATACAAAAATTAGCCGGGCGTGGTGGTGGGCGCCTGTAGTCCCAGCTACTTGGGAGGCTGGGGCAGGAGAATGGCGTGAACCCCGGGAGGCGGAGCTTGCAGTGAGCCGAGATCGCGCCACTGCACTCCAGCCTGGGCGACAGAGTGAGACTCCGTCCCAAAACAAAACAAAACAAAACAAACCAACCAAACAAAAAACCACAAAATAACAAGCATTGGCAAGGATGTGGAGAAATTGGATTTGTTTGGAGTCCCCCTGCTTTCCAGTCATTGAGTTTATTGCTCTGGGGCGCAGACTCTGGGAGGATGTGGTGCATTGCTGGTGGGAATTCAACATGGCATCGCCGCTGTGGAAAATCGTATGGCATGTTCTTCAAAAAGTCAAGCATAGAATTATCACATGATCTAACAATTTCACTTTTAGGTAAAGACCCAAACGAATTGAAAACAGGAACTCAAACAGATACTTGCACACCAATATTAATAGAAGCATTATTCAAAACAGCAAAATGGTAGAAGCAACTCAAATGTCCATCAACAGAGAAGCAATGAACAGATAAACAAAATATGATTTATACATAGAGTGGAAAGTTATTCAGCCTTAAAAAGGAATGAAATTCAGATATATGCTGCATCATGGATGAACCTTGAGAACATTATGCTGAGTGAAGTAAGTCAGTCATAAAAGGACAAATATTGTATAATTCCACTAATATTAGATACCTAGAATAGGCAAATTCACAGAGGCAGAGACAGCAAGTATGACAGAGGTTACCAGGGACTGGGGAAGGGATGAAAGGGAAGTTACTGTTTAATGGGTACAGAGTCTCTGTTTGGAATGATGAGAAGGTTCTGGAAATGGATAGCAGTAATGGTTGCTCAATATTGTGAATGTACTTAATGCCATTGAATTATATACTTAAAAATGGTTAAGATGGTAAATTTTACATATCCATATTTTACCAAAATAGCAAACTAGACCACACTTACATGCAAATATCGATATAACATTTAAAAGTAGATATCAACTCATTGAATTCAGCAATGGATTGTAATTATAATGTACTACAATTTCAGCCTACTGACAATCATAGAAATGAATATTAAAATGAGAGTGGCAGGCCAGGTGCGGTGGCTCACACCTGTAATCCCAGCACTTGGGGAGGCCGAGGTGGGCGGATCATGAGGTCAAGAGTTCGAGACCAGCCTGACCAACGTGGTGAAACCCCGTCTCTACTAAAAAATAAAAAAATTAGCCAGGTGTGGTGGCGTGTGCCTGTAATCCCAGCTACTTGGGAGGCTGAGGTAGGAGAATCACTTGAACCTGGGAGGTGGAGGTTGTAGTGAGTCAAGATGTCGCTACTGCACTCCAGCCTGGGTGACAGAGGGAGACTCTGTCTCAAAAAAAAAAAAAAAGAGAGAGAGTGGCAAAAATTATGACAAAAGATAATGACATCCAGTATTGGCAAGGATAGGATATGAGAAAATTTCCAGTCATACATAGTTGGTGAGAAGAGAAATTAGTATAGCCTTTCTGGGTGATTGCTGGACAATATTTATCAAAATTCAAAATATTCATACTTTTTTGTCTAAGCAATTCGACCTTTAAAAACCTATCTGAAGGGAAATATTGGACAAATGGATAAATGATATGTACAACAGCATTCATTAAAACATTGTTAACAATAGAGTACAACCAGAAAAAAAAAATAAAGGCACAATTATAGAGTACCAAGTAAATAAATTAATCTGTGCAACAAAATACTATGCAGTTATAAAATTATGGTGTACATCTGTATTGGCTGAATTCGGAAGATACAATACCATTTACAATAGCTCCAAATTTTTTTTTTAAATAAATATTTAGGTGGGGCGCAGTAGCTCACGCCTGTAATCCCAGCACTTTGGGAGGCCGAGGGGGGCAGATCACAGGATCAGCAGATGGAGACCATCCTGGCTAACATGGTGAAACCCCGTCTCTACTAAAAATACAAAAAATTAGCCAGGGGTGGTGGCGGGTGCCTGTAGTCCCAGCTACTCGGGAGGCTGAGGCAGGAGAATGGTGTGAACTCGGGCAGTGGAGCTTGCAGTGAGCCGAGATTGTGCCACTGCACTCCAGCCTGGGTGACAGAGCAAGACTCCATCTCAAAAAAAAAAAAAAATAATAATAATAATAATAAAATAATAAATAAATATTTAGAGATAAATCTAACAAAACGTGCAGGAGCCATATGATGAAAACTATGAAATGCTAATTAGATAAATCACAGAAGACCTAAATAAATGGAGAGAAATACTGTGTTCATTGTTTGGAAGACCCAGTATAGTTAAGATGTCAATTCTCAGCCAGGCACAGTGGCTCACATCTGTAATCCCGGCACTTTGGGAGGCCAAGGGGGGCAGGTCACGAGGCCAGGAGATCAAGACCATCCTGGCTAACATGATGAAACCCTGTCTCTACTAAAAATGGAAAAAATTAGCTGGGTGTGGTGGCATGCGCCTGTAGTCCCAGCTACTCGGGAGGCTGAGGCAGGAGAATCGTTTGAACCCAGGAGGCGGAGGTTGCAGTGAGCTGAGATCATGCCACTGTACTCTAGCCTGGTGACAGAGAGAGACTCCGTCTGAAAAAAAAAAAAAAAAGTCAATTCTCTCCAAAATCATTTACATATTTAAGGTAATTCCAATAAAAATACCAGCAGGATTTTTTTTTGTAGATACATATAAGTCAATTCTAAAGTTTATAGGGAAAGGCAGAGGAATTGGATTAGCCAAACAGTTTTGAAAATGAATAATGCCTGAGAACTCACACTCCTTTATTTTTATTTTTTTTTGAAACGGAGTCTTGCTCTGTCGCCAGGCTGGAGTGCGATGCGTGATCTTGGCTCACTGCAACCTCCGCCTCCTGGGTTCAAGCAATTCTCCTGCTTCAGCCTCCCAGGTAGCTGGGACTACAGGCACACGCCACCATGCCCAGGTAATTTTTGTATTTTTAGTAGAGACAGGGTTTCACTATGTTGGCCAGGCTGGTCTTGAACTCCTGACCTCGTTATCCTCCCGCCTCGGTCTCCCAAAGTGCTGGGATTACAGGTGTGAGCCACCACGCTCAGCTTCGCACTCCTTATTTTAAGAATTACTATAAAGTTATTAGTGAAGGGCTAGACACATAAATCAATGGAACAGAACGAAGAGTTCGGAAGCAGGCCCACACAGATATGGCTAATTGATTTTTGATAAAGTTGTAAAGGCAAGTCAATGGAGAAAGGAGTCTTTTCAACAAATGGTGATGGAACAATTGATCATCGATATGCAAAACAAGAAGCAAAACCTTGACGTAAATTCCAGACCTTACACAAAAATAAACTAAAAGTGGACATAGATTTGAATGTAAAATTCAAAACAATAAACTTTTAGAAGAAAGCATAGGAAAAAATCCTTGTAACCTCATGTGAAGGAAGAAGTTTTTAGATACAATACCAAAGCATGATCCATAAGAGGAAAAACATGACAAATTAGACTTCATCAAAATTTAAAACTTTGGTTTTATGACAGATACCTTTAACAAAATGAAAAAACGGGCCGGGCACAGTGGCTCACACCTGTAATCCCAACATTTGGGAGGCCAAGGTGGGTGGATCACCTGAGGTCAGGAGTTCAAGACTAGCCTGGCCAATATAGTGAAACCCCATTTCTACTAAAAATACAAACATTAGTTGGCTGTGGTGGCTCATGCCTGTAATCCCAGTTACTCAGGAGGCTGAGGCAGGAGAATCACTTGAACCCGGGCAGCAGAGGTTGTAGTGAGCTGAGATCGTGCCACTGGACTCTAGCCTGGGTGACAGAGCGAGACTCCATCTCAGAAACAAAACAAAACAAAACAAAACAAAACAAAACAACAATAAAATAAAATAAAATAATAAAATAAAATGAAGAAGCAAAGTATAGACCTAGAGAAAATATTTGCAAATCACATCTGACAAAGAAAAAAAAAAGAAAACTAGGATAAATAAATAACTCTCAAAATTCAACAGTAAGAAAACAAATAATACTCCCCAAATGGGCAAAAGATCTAAATAAATACTTTACTAAAAAAGATATGTGGATGGCAAATAAACACATTAAAAAAATGCTCAATGCTATCAGCAGTTTGGGAAAGGCAGATGAAAACCATGAGATCTCACTATATGCCTATTAGAATGACTAAGATTTTAAAATGAGCAATAGAAAGTGCTGGAGAGCACACGGAGGAACTGAAATTCTCTCTTTTTAAAAATTATACTTTAAGTTCTGGGATACATGTGCAGAACGTGCAGGTTTGTTACATTGGTATACACGTGCCATGGTGGTTTGCTGCACCCATCAACCCGTCAGGAGGAATTGGAATTCTCATACGTTACTGGTGAGAATGCAAAATGGCACAGCCGTTCTGGAAAACAGTTTGACAATTTCTCATAAAGTTATGCGTCACTTACTGTATGATCCCGTAATCCCTAGCTTTTTCCTCCAGAGAAATAAAAACTTATGTTCACACAAACACCTGCTCATGGATATATATAGCAGCTCTATTCAGAATGGCCCCAAACTGGAAACAACACAAATGCCTTCAGTGGGTACGTGAATGAGCAAACTGTGATACACCCACACAGCAGAATCCTCGGCATTAAAAAGAGAACTACGTGCAACGACACGCGTGAATCTCAGAGACATGCTGAGTAAAGGCAGCCAGGCGCTAAATCCTGCATGCCGTATGGTTCCATTTATATGACATTCTAGAAACGAAAATAAAAACTACAGGGTCAGAAAATAGGTCAGTGTCAGATAAAGGAGTCTTTATCTCTTTTTTAGTCAAACTTTTAATTCTGAGATAACTGTAAATTCCCATGCAGTGGCAAGAAATAGCACAGAGTTTCTGGGTACCCTTTACCCAGTTTCCCCCCAGTGATAACATCTTGCAAACAATGTTACTGTATCAAAATCAAGATATTGGTCAGGCGTGGTGGCTCACGCCTATAATCCCAACACTTTGGGATGGTGAGGCAGGTGGATCACTTGAGGTCAGGAGTTCGAGACCAGGCTGGCCAAAATGGTGGAACCACGTCTCTAATAAAAATACAAAAATTAGCCAGGCATGGTGGCAGGTGCCTGTAATCCCAGCTACCCGGGAGGCTGAAGCAGGAGAATCGCTTGAACCCAGGAGATGGAGTTTGCAGTGAGCTGAGGTCTTACCACTGCACTCCAGCCTGGGTGAAAGAGTGAAACTCCATCTCAAAAACAAACAAACAAAAAACCCCAGGATGTTGATGTCGATACATTTTATTCCGATTTCCCCAGTTTCACCTGTACTTGTGTGTGTGTCAGTCTCTTACCTTTTAATGATACACACTAAACTACAAAAAAAGTGATATTACTTACCCATAAACAGTGGGGTCACAGGTAATTTTTAATACATTTCTACATTTTCTGATTTCTTAATCTTAAGTATATTTGACCTTATTTTTTACTGTGTAACAGATGGCACACACAAAAGAAGAGAGCTAATATATTATGTTCAGGGACATAGTAATTACATGAACATCTGGGAGCCCGCCAGTCAATTTAAGAACGTTGTGCTGTGGGTTTAACGTAACCTTTGCACACCCCTGCCTGGAGCACCCTTCCCCCAGCTTTCCCCACAGCTGGCTCCCCCTCGACATTCAGGTCTTGTTGTCAATGTCACTGCCTCAGAGGCCTTTCCTGAACATCCTGTCCAAAATAGCCCTCCCTGTCACACTCTAGCACACTCTGATTTTATTCATAGCATTTATCAGTATGGAAATTTTTCCTGTCAGGCTTAGTTTTCTTGGCTAGTCATTAGAATGCGAACTCGGCAAATACTGGGATGGGGCGTGTCTCCTTCACTGCAGCATGTCCAGCATCTAGGGCAGCAGCCACTCAGTGGACAATGAATACCTATTTTAGATAAATATTTGATGAATGAATGAAAGTGAAGAATATTGCCAAAAGCCACGTGGCCATGAAGGATAGAACCAGGGCTAGAGCCCAGATCTCAACCTGGGGCGTGGGGTCATGGCCACTTCCCCTGACGTCCGCATGCCTTCCTTTCCCCTCTGTAAACCTCACAGAACCCCCCTCTGTCTTTGTGAAATAAAATGAACACAAACTTCTGTCTGGGGCGGCCTGGGTTAATAATGAACACGGGGCAGCCTCGAAAGAAAAGAAATCTCACAGATAAAGACTAAAAGAGAAGTGTAAGATACCAGGAATTTTTGTGGCAAATGGAGAGTGCTTCTGGGCTGATTTTTAATTGAAAGTAAAATTCCCCTTTGGGAGGCTGAGGCAGGCGGATCACAAGATCAGGGATCGAGACCATCCTAGCTAACATGGTGAAACCCCGTCTCTACTAAAAATACAAAAAATTAGCTGGGTGTGGCGGCAGGTGCCAGTAATCCCAGCTACTTGGGAGGCTGAGGCAGGAGAATCGCTTGAATCCGGGAGGCAGAGGTTGCAGTGAGCTGCAATCGTGCCACTGCACACCAGCCTGGGCAACAAGAGTGAAACTCTGTCTCAAAAAAAAAAAAAAAAAAGGGAAAGTAAAATTCTAAGAAACTTTACCAGTAACTGTCAGAAAGCCTCCCTATTCATTTGCTCATTCCTTCATTCACTCACGCATTCACTCATCAAACATTTATTCAGCGTTTCTATATATTTGTGCAGGTGCTGCTTCCTTGCTCCTCCCACAGGAGACCTTTGTGGTCGATTTCCTGTCCTTTGGGGCTGCTGACCACACCAGTGTGGGGGAAGAGCCCCCAGGGGATGAGCTTGCACGTAGACAGGAAATGGAAATAGAAGCAGCTCATTCTTAAAATGCATCAACATCAAATGTGTCTTCGTTTCAGGAATGAGAAGAATTTTTTAGGAAATAAAGCTTGCCCTTTCAAGCACCAAACCATGCCTCTGAATGTTTTCTCAATTAATCTTTTTTTTTTTTTTTTTTTTTTTTTGAGACAGTTTTGCTCTTGTCGCCCAGGCTGGAGTGCAGTGACGCGATCTCGGCTCACTGCAACCTCCGCCTCCTGGGTTCAAACGATTCTCTTGCCTTAGCCTCCCTGAGGCTAGGAATTACAGGCACCCGCCGCCACCCCTGGCTAATTTTTGTATTTTTAGTAGAGACAGGGTTTCGCCATGTTAGCCAGGCTGGTCTCGAACTCCTGACCTCAGGTGATCCACCCACCTCGGCCTCCCAGAGTGCTGGGATTAGAGGCGTGAGCCAGGCGCCTGGCTGTTTTCTCAATGAGTCTCAATGGAAGCTCATTGTATGCACCGTGCCATAAAACGGTGGCGATGGCAGGAGCTATCAGTAGGCGAGGGTAGCCCTATCCTACATTGAGTGGCTGTTACTGTTTGACTTCTCATGTATGATTCCTCATTTCAGCAGCACCAGCTGTGTTCTGCACTTAGTGGGTGAGTGGAGGCTGCAGTCCAGCCCACCGCTCTGCTGGCCTTTTTGTAATTTACTCAGGCAGGGAGGGTGAGGTTTTGCAATTCATCCATCCAAAGAGGAACTTGCTGTAATTTGTCTACTCAGAGGGGTGCCTCTTTCTGATTTGAACAAAGTGCCTTCTGTGTTGGCTGCAGCCCTGCCTGGGCTGTGTCTGCTCCTCCACCCAACTGCCAGTTTGCTGAAGGCTGGGAAGCCGGAATAAGCACATGCAATTGTCTTGTATGTAAAATGAAGAAACAAAGCCTGAGAACTGATCAATGAAAAGAGCATCAAACTTCCATCCATGGACTTGCAACTTCTATTTGCTCAGAGGGCCCTCTGGCTGTCTTCTGAGTTCCTGGCAGTGTTTTGGGTGGCTGAGGTTGGTGAGTAAATCAAAGAGCCTCTTCAGAACATAATCCATGGGGCAGAAATTGCACAAGACCTGAGAGGTTAGAGATGAATGAATGAGACATAGTCCTTGCCCCCTGGGGTGCGTGGTCTACCAGTCTGTCACCTCATAATGACCGCAGGGTGGCTGTACTTGCCCAAGACCCCTGGAACAGACGTCACACACCTATGGCCCACCATTAGCACACTGAAACTGTCTCACCGCCCCATGCACGCAGCATGCTTGTGATGGTTTATGTGTCAACTTGACCAGGCCAAGGGAGGCCCAGATGGCTGGTGAAGCATTATTTCTGGAGGTGTCCATGAGGCTATTTCCAGGAAAGATGAGCATCTGAATGCAGGGAGTGAGTCAAGATCTGCCCTCAGCCATGTGGGTGGGCATCACGTGATCTGCTGAGGGCCTGAATAGGAGAAGAGGGAGGAGGAAGGGCAGATGTGCTCTCTGTGCTTCAGCTGGGACATCCATCCTGCCCTTGGACAAAATCAGCGCTCTTGGTTCTCCAGCCTTCGGACTTGGACTGAGACTGACGCCGTCATCTTCCCTGGTTCTCAGGCCTTTGGACTCAGACTGGAATTACACCACTGACTTTCCTGGGCCTCTAGTTTACAGACCACGGATTACAGACTTCTCAGCCTCCACAATCACAGGAGCCAATCCCTGCTAATACATCCTTTTGTTCTCTACCCACTCCCCACCCACCTCCCAGTCTCTCTCTCTATCCTATTTGTTGTGTTCCTCTGGAGTGGCCTGACTAATACAATGCTTAAGAAGACTAACCATTTCGCAGACTCATGTAAGAGACTCTCAGAGACTTTGCTCTGTCTAGTATATTTTTAAAATTCACTTTTCACATAAAAAACCATGCGTATGGTAAAAATCTGAAAGGCACAGATAGCTATGCAGTGAAAAGCCAGACTCCTTCTTAGCTATCCTCTGGCCCAAGGGTCCCCAAACCCCAGGCTGCGGATGGGCACTGATCCGTGGGCCGTTAGGAACTAGGGACACAGCAGCAGGTGAGTGGCTGGTGAGCCACCAGGACCGCCTGAGCTCCGCCTCCTGGGGCGGGGGGCGGTGTGGGCATAAGATTCTCATAGAAGCTCGAACCCTATTGTGAACTGCGCATGCAAGGGATCCAGGCTGCCCGTTTCTTAAGAGAATCTAATACCTGATGATCTGAGGTGGAGCAGTTTCATCCCGAATCCATCCCCATCCCCAGCCCCAGCCCCAGCCCCCTTCCCCACCCAGTAAACCCCTACCCACCCCCAAACCCCTTCCGTGGAAAAATTGCCTTCCATGAAACTGGTTCCTGGTGTCAAAAAGGTTGGGGACCACTGCTCTGGCCCATCAGTTTCCTTCCCCAGGAGAAGCCACAGTTTTTGGAAATTTGAATCTGTGGCCAACATTTAAAAGTCATATTTCATATAAAAATCAAGATTTCCAGCTTTTGCTTAAAATAAGTAACTGGAAGATCTAGCAACACCAGACCCACAATCTCGTGTGGCAACAATTAGCTGGAGTTGACATGCAGCTTCCCTGTAGAAGGGCCATGTGCTCCCCAGGGCTTCAGTGTCCCTATTGAGTTCACAATGGGGACTCTGAAGCCGGGGGCAGTGCCAGGCACACCACACCAGCACTATCAGCCTGTCCACATCATCATTTATGCTACCTATTGGGCTCTTGAAAGCAGACACGGGCCGGGCACGGTCACGCCTGTAATCACAGCATTTTGGGAGGCCAAGGCAGGTGGATCACAAGGTCAGGAGTTCAAGACCAGCCTGGCCAACATGGTGAAACCCCGTCTCTACTAAAAATACAAAAATTACCTGGGTGTGGTGGTCCCAGCTACTCAGGAGGCTGAGGCAGGAGAATTGCTTGAATCTGGGAGGCAGAAGTTGCAGCGAGCCAAGATCGCGCCACTGCACTCCAGCCTGGGTGACAGAGTGAGACTCTGTCTCAAAAAAAAAAAAAAAAAAGAAAGAAAGAAAGCAGACGTGTTGGCAATCCATGTTCTATATTGTGGTTCAAGTTGTGGTTCACAAAGAGAAAAGTTAATTGCAGAATGTCTGAAATGGGCTGGGCATTAGGGTTGCCACACAGGGCCCATAGAAGTCTTTCAACAAACACAGTGCATCTCTGTACTTCTCCCTAGCACCCGATGCCCTATACAGCAATCCTCCCTTATCTGCAGTTTCACTTTCTGCAATTTCAGTTGCTCAAGGTCAACTGTGGTCCAAAAATATTAAATGAAAAATTCTAGAAAGAAATGACTCCTAAATTTTAAATTGCACACTGTTCTGAGGAGCATGATGAAACCTCTCACCGTTCTGGTCTGTCCTGCCCGGAATGTGAAGCGTCCCTTTGTTCAGTGGGTGTACACAGTGTGTGCTACCTGACTGTAAGCCACTTGCTAGCCATCATGGTTATCAGATAAACTGTCGTGGTATCACAGTGCTTGTGTTCAAGTCACCCTTATTTTACTTACTCATGGCCCCAAGTTGCAAGAGAAGTGATGCTGGCAATTGAGATATGCCAAGGGGATGCCTAAGACCTCCAATAGTACTGAACCTGGCTGCTGTCAGTCAGCCAAGGAGAAGCTGTCAAGTGCTTCCTTGAAGTGAGTGAAAAGGCGAAAGTTCTCATCTTAACAAGGAAAGAAAAAAGTCGTATGTTGAAGTAGCTAAGATCTATGGTAAGAACAAATCTTCTAGCCATGAAATTGTGAAGGAAAAACAAATTTTTGCTAGTTTTGCTGTCTCAGCTGAAACTGCAAAGTTATGGCCACAGTGTATGATAAGTGCTTCATTAAGATAGAAAGGGCATTAAATGTGTGGGTGCAAGACCTGAGCAGAAATGTGTTCTGATTGACAGCAGCCAGGTTCAGTACTATTGGAGGTCTGAGTCATCCCCTGGGGGTCTTGGAGTGTGTCCCCTGCAGGTAAGGGGACTACGCTATTGCATTTGTTTATTATCTGGCTGCTGTCACTAAAATATAAGCTCCCCATGGGAAGGGGCTCCATTTTGCTCACTGTTGAGTCCCCATTACCTGACACTGTTTATACCACATGGAAGGCCCTTGATAAATATGCTCGAATGAATGAATGTCAGGCACTCATATGAAGACAAGGCAGAGTCACTGTCCCAAAGCTACTCTTGGGCTGGATGACAGAAACAAGTTTGTTGGGCATGGTTGCTACAATAAATGACACAGGAAACAGAGATTACTTTGATGCTCAGAATACTGCAAAGAAGACACTGGTCCCATAAGAAATGTGGAGACAGACACAATGGTGAGAAGGACATTGTGCCTCACTGACCTGGCAGCTACCTCTGTCACCTGGGGGTGGCTGATCTTTCTCGGGCCGTATCACGGACAGCTAAGGCTGCAATGTTTGACTGCTGCTTTTGTGCCACAAGGGCAATGTGCAAGGTACTGACCAATCAAACATGCCATGAGCATGTTTTAGATGAGCATGTCAGGGCTCATCTAAAAATTCCTCTCCCTCCCCCCGTAGCGCAAGAATACGACATTACAGGACAGCAATACACCATCCTCCGCCCACAGTCAGCAAGACTCCTGGCAGCCAAAATAGGCAGCGGGAAAGTGGCTGAGGGACAAATCCCAACAACCTGGGAGATGTCCTGTGGTCACTCCCCACCCACTGTGCCCACTCACTTACACTGCCCACAGCATTCACTCATGGTTTCACTTATTCCATAGTTCCTGAGCACCTTCTATGTGTCAGACATTGTTCCAGGTCCCAGGGATGTGGCAATAAGTTAAAATACACAAAATGCCTGCTCTCAGAAAGTTTGCACTCTAGTGGGTGTGTAGGGGACAGAAAATCAACCAAATAATTAAATCGTATATGATAAGTGCTATAAGAATAAAGTTGGGAAGGGGAAGGAGGGGTTCTAGAGTTGGGGAGGGGTGTGCAGTGTCTAGATATAGATACATGGATATGTAGATATTTAAATATAGATTTAAATTTAAACTTTTAAATTTTATTGTCAATTGATATATTATAATTGCATATATTTATGGGGTACAAAGTGATATTATGATAGACGTATATAATGTGGAGTGATGAAATAAGGCTAATTAACATATCCATCTAATACCTATCCTTTTCCTGGTGAAAACATTTGAAATATTTACTCTCTTAGTAATTGTGAAATATACAATACACCATTATTAACTATAGTCACCCTAATGTGCAATGAATCTCAGAAACCGTATTCCTCCCATCTAATGAAAACTTCATACCCTTTGACCAGCATCTCCCTATTTCCCCCAACCCCCAAGTGTGTGTGTGTGTGTTTTTTTTTGAGACAGAGTTTCGCTCTGTCACCTAGGCTGGAGTGCAGTGGTGCGATCTCGGCTCACTGTAACCTCCACCTCCCAGGTTCAAGCGACTCTCCTGCCTCAGCCTCCCGAGTAGCTGGGACTACAGGTGCACACCACCACGCCCAGCTAATTTTGTGTATTTTAGTAGAGATGGGGTTTCACCATGTTGGCCAGAATAGCCTCGATCTCCTGACCTCGTGATCCACCCGCCTCGGCCTCCCAAAGTGCTGGGGATTACAGGCGTGAGCCACCGCGCCCGGCCAGTTTCCAAAAGGATGATGAGAGAGATCTCCTGAGGAGGTGCCATTTGAGTGGGAACCTAAAAAAGGCCCGACAGCAAGCCATGCGGTATCTGCAGGAAGAACGCTCTAAGCAAAGAGAATAGCCAAGTCCTGAGTTGCAAGGGTGCCCAGTGTTTTTAAGGGACAGCGTTTGGGGTGCAATGAGTGGGGGACACTAGGAAGATGTTGGGAGACAATTCTCCATAGGTTTCTGTTTGTGCATGCCTGGTGAGCATTCTTCTGCACCATCTTTTCAAATACGTTTGTATAGCAAACAGCCTTGGAAGATACTGTCCATTCTAGGACAGAAGACTAATTTGCTGTCAATATAATAGAGATAATGTCTCCTTTCAGGGTAAAAGTTGGGCAGGTTTGTTTGCAGCTCGTCATGAAAATTTGGGGTTTCCTAGGCTCAGGGTTCCTGGGCTATGATGCAACAGAGTCCATTTGGATTGGGCTCCTTGCGGCGCCCCTAGGACTTAGGGGAAAGGGGGACCTATAATCACAATGTTCATGCTCCTAGTTGTGCTGTGAGTAATAGAGTTCTTTGTCTCTGACTCTGGAGTCTCATGTCTTCTGCTGGTGACCATGAAGCTGTGGTGGGCTAACTTGTTAGTTCTAAGTTAACTTATAACTAACAGATCCTTCTAACTTATAACCCAGGTCCTTCACAGCTCTTTTTTTTTTTTTTTTTTTTTTTTTTTTAGACAGAGTCTCACTCTGTCGCCAGACTGGAGTGCAGTGGCGCAATCTCGTCTCACTGCAACCTCTGCCTACTGGGTTCAGGTGATTCTCCAGCCTCAGCCTCCCGAGTACCTGGGACCACAGGCGCCCGCCACCACGCCCAGCTAATTTGTTGTATTTTTAGTAGAGACGGGGTTTCACCGTGTTGGCCAGGATGGTCTCGATCTCTTGACCTCGTGATCCACCCACCTCGGCCTCCCAAAGTGCTGGGATTACAGGCGTGAGCCACCGCACCCAGCCCCTTCACAGTTCCTGGCAGAGGGATGAGATCAGAGACAAAGAATGAAGGGATGAATGAATTGGGATTCAGAGAGCATTCTTCCTTAAACACAGAACATCAGCACTGAACAAGTCGCAGGCCAGGTGCACACACACAGCTCATCACTCCCTTGGGGTACAACAAGCCCAAGGACTGACCACAGAACCATAGAAGCCTTCTATGGACACGGCAAAAAGAAGCAAATGGGGACCACCTGTTCACAGCTGCTGCTCCCTGTTGTTGGTGTGAGATAAAGTGGGGGTGACCTCCTGGATAGAGGAGAAGACTGAAGTAAGAGGGCTTGGAGGAAGATCTGAGGAAGCCTGGCTCAGGTTCAGAGTTTCTGAACCTGAAGATTCTGAACATGAAGATTCCAGATCTGACTGTCCCTTGTGCCCCCATCCCCCCAGCTCACCATTGCTGGCTTCTCGGACAAGCTGTTCAGACAGAAGAACCCACCACCTAGGCCTCCCTATACCTGCAGGAATAAAGCCTGGGCAGAAAAGATGTGGAGCTTCCAGGCCTCCCTATACCACAGCTGCAGGAATAAAGCCCTGGCAGAAAAGACGGGGAGCTTCCCAGGGCCACACTCTGTCTGCCTCCTGTCCTCCAGCCACTCCTGTGGCACAGAGAGAGGGGACCTGCAGAGCCTGGGTCACCTGCCTCTGTTGCCTCCCCTCTTCTCCCACCAGAGCTGCCTCGTGCCCTCAGGGTTTCAGGGGCAGCTCAGGCTTGCCAGACGTCATAGCTGTGTTTTTTTTTTTTTTGGATCGGAGCGTGTGGTGAGTGAGCTGGCAGTGAGGGACTAAGGGAGTGAGAGGACAGAGCTCTGGGTCCTGAGGGGGCCCCCTCAACCTTTAGCCCTTGCCCCCATGAGGTCTACTTCTCAGATTCCCAAGGAGCCGGGAGGTGAGGGTCCTGCTGCCCTGGCTGGCCCCCGTGGACAAGGACAGGCCTGTTTCCTCAGCTGTGTCTGCTTCTGGCTGGAAGGAAACACCTGGATATGAAAGAGCCAGTGGGGTGGGGGTGGGGGAGCATTGTTCCCAGGGGCAGGGAAGCTTGGTGGGATCTGAATTCAGGTGGGGCCTGAATGCAGCAGGGACCAGATGGCGATGACTGCAGCTTGGCATCTGCAGCCACCGTGTCAGCCGAGGCGCTTTCGTGGAGACAGTGTAGGGCCTGCAGCAGGTTCTAGTGTGAGGCAGCGGGGCATGGTGGCCAGGCAGGTGGCATTCCAATCCTGTTAATAGGGCAACTTGGGCTGCTTGCTTAAAACCTCCGTGCCTCAGTTTCCCTATCTTAAAGGGGACCTGACAACAACACCTACCTCATAGGCTTGTCATGAGACTAAATGAGATGATATTTGAAAACCACATAGAGCTAAATAAATAAATGGACCGGGCCAGGCGCTGTGGCTCATGCCTGTAATCCCAGCACTATGGGAGGCCGAGGTGGGTGGATCACGAGGTCAGGAGATCAAGACCATCCTGGCTAACACGGTGAAAACACAAAAAATTACTACTAAAAATACAAAAAATTAGCCAGGCGTGGTGGTGTGTGCCTGTAGTCCCAGCTACTTGGGAGGCTGAGGCAGGAGAATCGCTTGAACCCAGGAGACGGAGGTTGCAGTGAGCCGAGATCGCACCACTACACTCCAGCCTGCGCAAAAGCGTGAGACTGTCTCAACAACAACAAAAAAGGACCGGCCTGCGAGTGCTCCACACACCCCCTCTAGCTGTGCTCCCCCCAACACCTGACTTTCCCACTTGCTTTCCTGCCTCTGGGGGTTTGCACACTTTGCTCCCCATTGCTGAGGTGCCTCTTGCCTCCTCTTTGCACACCAGGTCCTCCCTTGAGCCTCAGCCAGGCACCACCTTCCACGGGACCCTCCCTGAGCCCGCACCCTGCAGTCTCTTTCATCCTGCACACACCACACACCTCCTGGCTCGCTGAGGACCCTGAAGGTTCTGAGTTGGTCACTCGCAGCTGTGTTCAGACCCTCTTTGCAAGCAGTCAGCCCTTCAAGGACAGAGACCAGGCCTCGGTCAGACTCTGGCACACATAGAAGATACTGGATTTGTGTATAGGAAGAGAATCAGCCAGACCAGCATGACTTTCACCAAATTCCCCAGGAAAGTGATGGGCAGATGATGTCCCAGAAAGGGCACAGACTGGGACCCAGATGTTTCACACTGAGTCCTGCTCCTTGCTAACCCACTCTGCAATCTTTGGCAAGTTGCTTCATCTCCCTAAGCCTCAGTCTTCTGTTCTATAAAATGGCACTAAAACACTTATCCAGTCAACCTCTAAATGCTGGTGAGAATCAAATGGGAAAATGGGTGTACTCTGCAGCACCGGGCATCAATCATTAGTCCTATTATTAACAGCATGTACAGGATTCCAGAAGAAAGGAGAGTCCTTCTCACAGGGTCCCGTGTCTTTTCATCTTGTGAAAATGGGCTGAAACAATCTTAACTTGGCAGAATTACCCTGCAGTGTCTGAGGTCACCCTTCTCAGAAAGACGGCCCTGGCAGCCCTGAGCCTGGATAAATAAGAGCCAGGGGTGTTTCAGCCCCCCCAGGGGCTCCCCTTCCAGGTCCCTCCGTTCCACCCCTCTATCTGTTCTGCTCAGATCTGCCTGCCTGGCGATCTCCATCCAAGCCAGCACTTACCTTGGTTCGGTGGCAGCTTCTGGGCTCCCCAAGTCCTTCAGCCAACTCCCCACGGTCCTGAGCGAGGTCCCCAGTCCCAGAGAAGCAGATGTCTTGGGGGAGCCTCCACGGGTGTCTGTGGTCTTGACTGTGCTCTTCAGATCTGCAAAGAAAAGCTCGATGTCTCACAGCTCTGTCCCCTCCTCTTCCTTCCCCTTCCTTGTGGCCCTCGAAGCTCCTCCCAGAATGCATTTTGCTGTGAGGATCCTTTCTAAAGAAGCATGACCCACGGTCACTGGAGGTCCTTTATTCTGATCGAATGTGACCAATTTTATGGGGCAGGAGGGGGACACCTCCCAAGAGACTCCCTCTGGTGTTGACGGGGGAGGGACTGATGCAGGGAGCCCTGACCTCTCTCTCAAGCTCCAGACTCACCAACCATCCCCCACCCCTGGACATGGCCAGCCAGATGTCCCTCAAGCACCTCCATCTCAACAGGTACAAACCGAGCTCATCATTTCTCCCTCTAAGCCCACTTCTCTGTTTCCTGCCTCAGAATCAGCAACCTCGGTATCATCCTAACGCCTCCCTCTTCCTCGCCTGTTACATCTAAACTGCACCAAGCCCTGTCAATAGGTCATGGATCCTCCACTTTCTTCCATCCCTATGGCTGTCACTGTTTCACCTGACTACCATGGTCTTTCTCCTGAAACACTACAATAGCCTGAGGTCCTTCACCCCACAGCCAAAGGTCTCTTTCTAAGAGTGAAACACAAATCTATTCATGTTACACTCCTGCTACAACCTTCAATGGCTCCTTATTACTTTAAAGAGAATGGCCAAACTCCTCAGTGTGACTTGCCAGACCCTTCTTGATCTGGTCCCTCCCTAAACTCCAACCTCATGCTTTATCCCCTCACTCCAGCCCCTCCCAGAAGTACTGCAGTCTCTTAACTATCCAGGCTGTGGGAATCACTTCCCAACCCTTCTCCTGGCTCATCCCTTGTCATTCATTATTTATCAGAGAAGAACAAAAAAACAAGCCTAAGAGGCAGGAGGAAAGTGGAGTGCCAGGGATGCTGGCAGAAGACAGAATGCCAAGGAGGAGACAATGGTCAACGACGCCAATGATTGTGGAGAGGACACAGGTGAAGAGAATGAAGAAGCATCTGCTGTCCTTGGCAATTAGGAGAGAGCAGTGCTGGGCAGGAACAGTAGACCTGCTGGGGGAAGTTGATCAACCGCATGGTGACACATTTGCTACTTTGTCATTTTCTTTTTTTCACATTTTGAAGTCAAACACTATTTGGGAGAGTCTCTGACACATTTCTAGAGCTTTGAAAAACTCACAGATTCTATGCTGTCATCCCGTTGGGCCTAATGGGTAAATGGCTCTAGAGAGTGACAGATTGCTGACAGCAGGGTTTGAGTGCTGGATCCAGCTATGCCTGAAATTCTGGGGCTGAATCTACTCTTGGACTGTTCATTGTACATGATCCAATAAATTCCATTCTTTTTTGGATTAAGCCTGTTGGAGTTTGTCACTTGGCTCAACTCAGAGAGCTTTGGGGCTGTGAAGTCACTGATCCTTTCCCGTAGGGGCTTGACTAGGTTCTATGCTGACCTTTCATTTTGCAGAGGAAGCTATTTGGAAAAAAAGTCCAGAAATGTAAATCATTTACTCTATTGCTGTGCCTTCCTCCCATAACTGCTTCTTTTCTGTCCCCTTCATGTGACTGAAGTCACATTCTATCTTGCATCTTTGTATTAGCGTTCTCAGCTCACATGTCTGCCTTGTTCCTCCCTCAATGAGTCCTGAAAGAGCAGGGGCTAGAGTGTTGTTCATTATTCCGTCCATCACAGGGTGAAAGAGTGTTAAGAGAATGCTTGGCTTATTTATGAAGCAAATGGGTGACTGAACGAAGGAAACGAATACGCCCAGGACAGAATAAAGGACCAAGAACTCAGCCCCTGCAGGTTCCAGACTCAGCAGCAGCTGGGCAGTGTGGCCACCCTGGGCAGCGCCTCTCCTTATCAGCCTTGGCTTAACTGAATCGGAAATCACAAGCCGAGGTCACTTCTTGTGGGTGCACTGCTCTCTTTATCATCAGCTGCCATTTCTGCAACTGCATTTGCTGTGGTACCCATAGAGGGGGCAGCTTGGTGACCATAGAGAGCCCCAGAGCTGTCCCTTGCAAAGAGGAGCTAGGGTGCTTTCATTTTTGAGTGCACACGGCTGACCGCCAGCCAGGAACAAAGGACAGTGGGAGGAGGAGGTGACAATAGGAAGGACCAAGTTCCCCCACGGACCCCAGTGCACCGTCCCTACCATCACCAAGGCAAGGCAGCACTACCCCTTTTGCCAATCCCAGCCATGTCTTTCCTCTCCAGACCATGTTCTTAGGATTTGTTTAATCTGGGTTTTCCAGGCTGTGCTCTTACCAGGTTTCTCATCTGCACCAGTCTCCAAAGAGCAGCCCCCTCTTTCCCTGCCAAAAGGCAAATGATCCGTCAGCATCAGAACTGTAAAAATTAAGGTTCCCTGCTTTCACTGTACTAGTTCCCAGATGACCTGGTCAGCTAATGGAGGCAAAGACCCCCCAGAATGATCAATGCCCAAGATACAGAAGCAGAAGGCCCACCATCTATTGTCACTCCCCTTCCTCCTCCTCCTTCTGCCACCCTCCTCTGCCAAGTGAGGGTCCCCACTCCTGGTGACCCTTCTGGGCATAGCTGCAATGGCCTCTCTTCAGGTTCTCCTATCTCAGCCAGGGTGTTTGGAAGTCTGTTTACATAACTCGCCTTGGGGTTACAAAGTTACTTACCTTCTCTACAGATGAACCACTGTTTCCAATCCATCCTCATCCATTTTCTAATCCATTACAAAGCCACTGAGAGCTTTAAACAAAAATTAAATCTTCTTGCAACTGTGGACAGAGCCACGGGTGAGGAGGGCCAGGTACCAGCATTGCGGAGGTCTGCAGGACCACAGTATTGGAGTCAGGCAAGAATTACATGCTTAGGAAAAGAGGTCCCCAGGGTCGCTTGTGTCCTCACCTGCAGTGCCACCCACCGTGGGAGCTGCTCTGGGATTATTCAGCATCGAAGGCGGCAGAATTTGTCATTTCAGTTTTCTAAGGAATCCACTTACATAAAATACTAATAAGCAAAGTCAATTTTACTAAAGATTATGTAGGAGGATGAAGGGAGTGTACATCACACGTCTCTTGGCAAACTATTCAAAAATCCTCTGTGGATAGTTCTGAGGATCCCGACGTCCCTCCTCCATGCCATGCCATTGGAGCGGGCAGCCTGGAATGGGGTGGGCTTTTGTGCTTTTTCCTGTCTCTCTTCTCCCCATGTGACCCTGACTCATTAGCGTCGGTTCCTCCCTCCTAGATTTTTTTCACAGACATATCCAAATTGTCTTCGAAGCCCATTCAGAGCACTGTAATTCCATTCTAATTCTCAACTCCCCACTTTTCTACCCCAAATTCATGACTGCCACCCACACAGATAGCTCTCTGGTTGGCAGGACCCATTTTTAGAAAACCGTGAGAGGTAATAAACCAGAAAAGAGCTGTTAGGAAAACACATTTTGATTCGTTTAAACAATCACCTCGTGAGTCAGCTACAGTTACACAGATAGGTTAAGTTTAAACGCTCTCATCCCTGGTGGAGGTGAGACTCGACACACTGCCTCGGCACAGGCAGTACCCAACTGCGGGGCACCTTTGCCTCTGGTGCAGTCCCTCCAGCTCTTGCCCACGGCCCAGAGGCAGGCAGGACAGCGTCATGCTCTAAGCCACTGGTTCGCTAAGGGTAGTCCCTGGACTGGCAGCATCAGCATTGCCCTGGAAATCCGTTATCAACTAGTACTGTCTGCTGTGGCTGTGGAAAGGGAGGAACAGTGCACACCTCGGGAATTTTCCATCCTTTACTTCCAGCAGCGTTATTTGGCAGAGTGCATGCAGAATCAGGACTAATTGGGGTGATAGAAGAAGCGGATTTATGCTTCATATCCAACCAGTCACCTTCTCAGCTATTTTTCTTATTTTTGGTGGTGGTGGGGAAGTTTTTATTTTAAATGCCATCAATGTTCTTTTTTTGTTAAGCTGTAATGTTTAAAAAACTAGTCAAGTAGGCCAGGCACGATGGCTCATGCCTGTAATCCCAGCACTCTGGGAGGCCGAGGCAGGTGGATCACCTGAGGTCAGGAGTTCGAGACCAGCCTGGCCAATGTGGTGAAACCTCGTCTCTACTAAAAATACAAAAATTAGCCTGGCATGGTGGCCGGTGCCTGTAATCCCACCTACTTGGGAGGCTGAGGCAGGAGAATCACTCAAACCTGGGAGGCAGAGGTTGCAGTGAGCCAAGATTGTGCCATTGCACTCCAGCCTGGGTGACACAGCAAGACTTCGTCACAAACAAACAACAACAAGAAGAACAAAAACTACTTAGGTAATCCATAAATATATTTCCATTATAAAAACACTCAAGCATTGTAGGACCCTAAGAGGAAAAAAGGAGGGTCTCTCTCCTCCCCCTCCTCAATTTCTTTACCCTCCCACCCAGTGATAACCATGGTAAATAGCTTAGGGTAGTTTATACATGTGAGCACCATACAAATCGCTCTTTAACTTGCTTTGTTTACTTGAAGATCACGATATATTGGTACATAAGGATCAACCACATTCTTTTCTTACATTTAAATGTACATGTTTGTTTGGACTAGTTACACATTTACAGGGTTCGAAATGGGAAGGACACAGAGAAGATCAGTCACTCCCTCTTCCGAAAGCTGCCCTTCAGGTGAAGAAAACCTTGTGACCTCCTCCTTCTCTTTTGCGGGTGCAACTGTCCCCTCTCCCAAACTCCTTGGTACTGGCAGCTCTGTGATGAGGTGAGAGGGCAGACACTTTGGGGTTGCTGTGGAGGGCGGGGCCTGGTCTCTTCTCATTTCCCCTGTTCTCATGGCTGCCTTGAGAGGGAGACCAAGTGGACCCCTGCTTCCTCTCCCTCTGCCCCTAATACCGCAGGTTCCTCCTTGGACAGGCTTTTGCTGGTGGAGCTGAGCTGGGGAGGTGTTAGGAGTCTCTTCATCTGCATGATATGCATATCACCCTCTCCATTTTCTTTTTCCAAATGAACTCACACCAGGAAGTGGAACAAATCAAGATGGCTGGGGTCAACCAGGAAATCAGTGAGAAAACGCAAAGACCCCAACTTGCATTATTTATGCAAATTGCCTGCCCTCCAAACATGTGCAGGACCACACACCCACTCATGTGCACACGCACACACACACACACACACACACACGCACGCATGCACACACTGAGCTACACCCCCAAAAGTAAGCCAGGCTACCTGGCTGGGCCCTCATCCTGGCACGTGCCTCTCACTCTGTGTGACCCTGTGCAGGCCTCTCCCAGTCTCTGGGCCTCAGTTTCCTCCTCTGTAACCTGAGGGGCTGCAGATTGGGTTTGCAAAGCCCTCCTCAGCTTTCTCAGCCCCAAAACGATTCTGTTCTGGCCTCAGAGACTTTCGGCTACAGTTTTGCTCAGAGAAGGCCTCTGGTCCCTGGTTGCAAGGGCCCCTTCCTTGGGTGTGTGGGGGTGGGGGCCGCTCTGCTCCCTCCCTCCTCTTCCCCAGAGGTCTCGGGGGACCCCCTTCAGTCTGCTCTGGAGCCAGGAGCGACATTCACCATTCACCGAGGGCTTCCTTCCTGACTGCCCTCCCCTTAGCAGTGGTCCGCGCAGACCAGCCTGGAGTCCCGCCAACCCAGTCTGGCCCCAGCTTCCTCTCCTCCTCTATGCCCCCTCCAACTTTTCCACCCCTGCCACTCCCACCATTCCTGAGGGTGTGTGAACACAGCTTCTATTTTGAAGCTATCAGAGCGTCTCCAGCGTTCCATTAGAAACGAAGCCATTCTTCTCAGACATCTGTGTGATCCTTTTCATGGCCTCAGCTTACCCACCACCCACACGAGAGGTTCCAGAGAGCAGCAGAGATTAGTGGTTAAGCGCAGGGACTCTGGACCCCACCTGTCTGTGCTTAAATCCTGGATTCCCCTTTTTACTGTCTCTGTGAGCTTGGACAAGTTACTTGTCTCTGCCTCAGTTTCCCTGCCTGTAAAAGGGAGCATAATTGTACCTACCTCATGGGGCTGTGGCACAAATGAGTTAACGTAAGCATGTAAAGCACACAGAGCAGCGCCTGACACGTGCTCAGTAAGTGCTGAAAGTGTTTGCTGAGAGGTCAGTTCACTCGACGCAGACATTCACAGGTGATTCTCTGTGCAGGTTGCAATGACTGAGACGCTGCACCTTTGAGCTGGAAATATCTGAGATCCTTCGAACAAGCGCCATTTCTTCCCACTCCCCCCGTGCAAAGAGTGGCAGACACACGTACCTGCTGTGACCACAGCCATGTCTCCAGGGAGCCCACACTCAGAGTCTCCGGGGCTGTGGTCCGAGCCGGGACATAGGTGTGCCTGAGCACAGAACAGAGAGAAACAAGCTGGCACGCCTGGGGACAGAGTCTGCCACCTGCCTCACTTTGCCCCCAGAGGGATGGGGGATGGCACCCTCTCCCAGGAGGCATTTCCTTTACCCTGATTTTACTGGTATGGTTGGGGGAAGAAAGAGAAGGATTCAGAGACTTGGGGAAAGGAGGAAGTGGATTCTTCCTCAAGAAAATGGGGGAGCCCTTTCCCCAGGGAAGCTGTGAACATTACCGGTGCTGGAGTGGGTGGCAGTGTGGCAATGCGGGAGGGGCAGTCTGAAGGCCCAGGGCAGGCACCAGGCTGGCTGGGTCCACACAGCATCTCGGGTGTGCCTGGAGCCGCAGGGGCTGAAAACTGTGCTGCTTCTGCTTTGGGCAGACAGGGGGCTGCGGGCTTCTTGCCCTGGAGGCTGTGGGAGAGCCCTTTCCCCGGGGGGAGGCATGACTGGGATGCCAGGGACTTCAAGGAGAGGTCTGAAGATGGTGATAGACCACTACCTTCCGGCCCCTAGAAGAAGCTCCCAGCTACCTGAGGAGAACAAAGAGGTGTAAGCCATTGTGTCTGGAGGAGCCCCCTCTCGGTAAGGCTTCTGCTCACAGGGAGCCCTGTGTTGTACCTGAGCGAGTTAGAGAAAACGCCACACTTTGAGATGAATTAAGAGTCTGTTTATAGTTAGTGATTATTACCAGTAGTTCTTTAATTTACGGGTCTTCATAAGATGTACTGTACAATGCTCAATTGTTATGTCATTTAAAGACATCAGGTTCATCTGTTTACTGAGCTAGAAACATAGTATGTAGTTTCACTTTTTAAAATGCAACAGCTGTGCTGAAATTTTTTTTATCATTAACACTTGAAGTAATAAAATAGGCTTCATTTATTTAAAAAAAATAGAGTCCGTTTATTTAGCCGGTGGTCAAGAGACGGCTAACGCTCAAAATTCTCTTGGCCCCGAAGAAGGGGCTAGATTTTCTTTTATACTTTGGTTTAGAAAGGGGAGGGGGATCTAGTTAAAACAATTTTACAGAAATAAAGTAGGCAAAAAGTTAAAAGGATAAATGGTTACAGGAAAGTAAACAGTTCCAGGTGCAGGGGCTTTAAGACTATTACAAGGTGATAGACGCGGGGCTTTGGGCGTTATCAATCGGACGAATTCCTGGGAACTGCGGATATCACTCGCCACAGTATCTTATCAGTTAATTGCATTTTTGGATGTGCTGGGAGTCAGCTTGCACAAGTTAAGTCCTCGAAGAAGGGGCTGCCAGTGAAAGAGCCAAGATGGAGTCTGTCTGGCTCTCTTACCTAAGGGAGAGTCAATTCAGGTGGAACCAAGGCTAGGTGATTAAAGGAAAGAGGGAGAGTCTAAAAACAGGGTTAGTAAAAACAAGGTTGAGCATTACACCTGAGGCCCGGTAGGCTACCTGGACTACAGTCTCAGCAGCACCATCCCCTTTCACATTGCGTCCCCTGATGAGCCCTACACACTCCCCGGAAAGTAGACACTGTGTCATTTTCACAGGCAAGGAAGCGAGGCTTGGAGACATCGGGAGGCGGCCAGGGTCACTCCAAGGGTGAACGTTCCTGCTCCTCCCTGGCCTCCCTGTGATCCGAGGTTTAGCCTGAGAGAGTGCCGTATCCGACAAAGGGAGCAGAGGAAATGTAAGGCCACAGGGGTTCTGCCAGGTGCAGGAAGGAATGATGGAACTGGGGGCCAAGAGAGCGCTCCCTTCTACGGTCCCAAACCCTGAGACCCGCAGTGCACAGCTTGATTTTGGTCCCCTAACTGAGGCCTGCCCAGCCTTCTAGGAAGCAGGAAGTGGCAAAAGGAGACACCTATCTCCTCCCAAAGTTGGAGAAATATACCCATTCCAGGGATGGCAAGACCAGGAGGTCAACATGCCTAGGGCAGAAGTAATTCTGCTGTGAGTAGTGGGAGGTGAGAGTCTGCAAGTTTATGGCCAGCTCCTGAGCTCTTGGTGAGGTACCATGCGGAGGAGGGGCCACCTTGAGGAGGAGGATGGGGTGCTGAAAAGGACAGCCTCCTCCTTTCTCTTCATCTGCCAACAGCAGGACCCAATGGGGATTCTAGTTTCAGTCCCCTACCTCGGCCCCTTTCCTCAGTGTTCAATGACTCGGATTACAAAAGCTCATGGACTGGATGAGACATTCTGGCTCAGAGCCCCTTTAGCCTATAACCACTTGGCCCATGGATTCGCCTACAGCTCATGGTGATAGTATCCAGGGTATGTGTCTGACCAATAGGGGATCCATTCTTAGGTCAGCCAGTGATTTTTGTGAAGTATGGTTTAAAGAATCTTCTGTCTGGGCGTGGTGGCTCATGCATGTAATCCCAGCACTTTGGGAGGCCGAGGTGGGTGGATCACCTGAGGTCAGGAGTTCGAGACCAGCCTGGACAACATGGTGAAACCCTGTCTCTACTAAAAAAATAAAAAAAATTAGCTGGGTGTGGTGGCATGCGCCTGTAGTCCCAGCTACTTGGGAGGCTGAGGCAGGAGAATCCTTTGAACCCGGGAGGCGGAGTTTGCAGTGAGCTGAGAATGGGCCACAATGTTCTATCAATTTCAGTAACATCAAATTTGTTAATTGTGTTGTCCAGATCTTGTATATCTCTATTAAAATTTTTTGTCTATGTGTTCTATCAGCTATTGGGAGAGATATGTTGACCACTGTGGTTGTGGAGACTTCTAGTTCTGTCCATTTTTGTTTTATATTTATATTTATATACAGTTTATATTTATATAGTGACATGTATTTATATTTATATATAATTTTCAGTTGTTATTTGGTGTATATAGCTTTATAACTGTAATACCTTTTGTTGGACTCCTTAATCTTTATGAAATGTTCCTCTTTATTTTTTGTAATGCTTCTGCTGTTAAATCTTTGGATATTAGTGTATTGACACCAGCTTTTTTGGTCCGGTTTTGCATCTTTGGATATTAGTGTGTTAACACCAGCTTTTTTGATCTGGTTGGTTTTGCATGGTGTGATTCTTTCCATCCTTTTGCTTTCAACCTTTCTGTGATGTTATATTTAAAGTGTGTCCCTTGTGAGCAGTTTATAAGTTTTTTGTTTTGTTTTGTTTTGTTTTTGAGATGGAGTCTCGCTCTGTCACCCAGGCTGGAGTGCAGTGGTGCGATCTCGGCTCACTGCAAGCTCCGCCTCCCGGGTTCAGGCCATTCTCCTGCCTCAGCCTCCTGAGTAGCTGGGACTACAGGTGCCCGCCACCGCACCCGGCTAATTTTTTGTATTTTTAGTAGAAACGGGGTTTCACCGTGTTACCCAGGATGGTCTCGATCTCCTGAACTCGTAATCTGCCTGCCTCGGCCTCCCAAAGTGCTGGGATTACAGGTGTGAGCCACTGCGCCCGACCGCTGCAGTTTATAAGTTTTTTTTAAAAAAGTATTATCAGACAATTCTGGGTGTGTGATTCCAGGTTAGTAGGTTTGTTTTTTCCCCTCATACTTTAAAGATATCATTTCATCATCTCTGGCTTCCATTGTTTCTATTGAAAGAGAGAGTTCTCAGTTTAATTGTTGCTACTTTGAAGATAAAGTGTATTATTTTCCTCTGTCTTTAGTATTTTCTTATTACCTTTTTTTCTTTAGAAGTTTGACAGTAAGGGGTGTGTGTGTGTGTGTGTATGTGTGTGTGTGTGTTTAAGAAAAAACTGAACTCCAGATTGTATTGGGATTTTACCAGTTTTTGGATTAATGTTTCAGGATACAAGCCAGTGTCTACTGCTTATTTTTCAGGTTTACTCCATCTCTTTTTGTTTCTCAGTCTTTCCTTATTTTTTGTGACAGTAAGAGAGTACTGGTCAGGTTATCTGGTCCCATAGTCTGGGTTTATATGATCTTTTTTACTCTTGATTAGACTGGAGTTATGGAAAGAACATCAAAGGTAAAGTGCACTTCTCATGTGATTTTGTTTTTTTCTTGTGTGGAGATTCCTGTGTCAAAATTCCTGTGCAAAATTTGCTGGGTTTATTAAGTCTGTGGGTTGATGTGCTTCATCAGTGTTAGCCAATTATTGGCAGAAGGAATATTGTTCTTGTTCCAGGTTCCATTCCTAGGAGGCATCGCGTGTCTCTGCTTGCCTCTCATGCTGGTCCAATGTGTCTGAAAGACCAACGAAGCAGATCTGCACCCATCCTGCAGCTTGGAGCCAAGCCACTCTGAGCCCAGCCTAGATCAGGTGGTCCCTAGATGTCCTCCAGATGCATGAGCAAGAACAAATGATCGGAGACTTAGTTCCCTGAATTGAAGGTATGCTTCATTGTTTGCAATAGCCAGCTGATGCAGAGCTGGAACAGCTCACAGTTCTTTCTCCCTCCATCCTGAATAGTGTTCTGGCAACCTGGTACTTACCTCCCTCTCCCAAGCCACAGGTGTCCTCTACCATCCCTCCACTTCTTCTTCTCTCTTTCCTTATCACCCAAGTCTAAAGGCAGTCCCAGATCCAAAGGGCCATTATTGAGCTCTCTTCCCCTCCTCTCAGCTGCATGGTAGGTCCAGGATCCACTGTGCCACCCATCCGCAGCAACGGCCTCAGGCCCGTCCCCTCCCTGGAGCTTGGGGTACAGGAAACAGATGGATATATGGGTATATATTTCTCAAGTGAAGTAGCACAGGAAACCCCAAATGCTGAGTCCTTAGGTGTAGGAATTTTTGTTCTGTGGGTCAGTGAGTATGATGAGGCTTAAGCAGAACAGTATTGGGGAAAATTTTCACCCAAATATATTTTCTATAGGGTGGAAAATTACAAAAAGAGAAATAAAACAATCCCCTATGAAGCTTCTTTCTGGTATAAATAAAATGATTTATATAAACTGTCCAACTAGCAGGGTCATGCAGCAAAGTAACTACTGGTCATTAAATATAGGACAAATCAAGTTTTATTTGACAATAATATTAAATTCCACTCATTAGTTCCTGGACATCTGTTGATCACATAATAAGACAACCTGCCCATACAGCAAAAACATATTGAAGATACATGGCCCGCCACTCTTCTGGAGCTTAGAGCAAGAGCAGACATTAAGACAGGGGAGAGACGGCCAGGCAAGGTAGAAGCTGGCTCTGTCCACGTCTCTCAAGTCATGAGTACTCTGGGCTGGAATTTCACGTAAGGCCTTTTGGGCATAATGAATTAGGAGGCGGGGAAGAGGGACTTTGTGCAGGATACAGTTCATGCTTCCGTGGCTACTTTCTCCACATCAGTCCAGATCCTCGTCTTGACTTCTGCCCTATCTCTCTAGCCCATGTTTGCTTCCAGCTTCTCAAACCACTTCAAGCTGGTTGCTTTGAATTTCAGACTCTCGTGTCCTATCCTAGGCTGACCATTTCCCATGCACCAGTCCCATTTCCCCTGAGTCGGGCACTAAGCTCTGTGAGGCCAGTCACTCCATCCTCTGTTCTGGGATCTTGCCCAGGTGCCAGAAGAGTGCCAGTGAACTTGCGGATATGGAAGATTGTACACGCAGAGTGAGATGGGAGTGGGAGGGCCAATCTGATACAGAAGGGGGTGAAGGGTAGGGCCCCTGAGCAGCCCACCCCTTACCCTGACGAAGGCAATCCTCCTCTGGAATGTCTCTTCCCTCTTCAGTCTGGGTTCTGCCTCAGCCACGAACTGGGAAGGAGTGAGGAACATCCCAACGGCAATGAGAGTATCCCAGTGACTCCAAACAGGAGGAATCAGTGTTCAGAAAGTCAGGCACTAAGCTTTACTGAACACCTACTGGGAGCTCGGCACTGGGCTAGGTGCTTTGCAGACAATTTAACCTTTTAAGGATGTCTTATTTCCACCCCAACTCTCCACTCCATTTTAGTGCTGGAGAAATGAAGGCTTAAAGTTAATTAACTTCCTCTAGTGATTTAGCTAGAACTGAGCTGCTACTAAATTTAACCCTATCCTGTCTTCTAAGAATCTCAGATTCCAAAAGGAGATCAAGAGAGAATCTGTGCCGGGTTCTGAGAGTAGACAGGTCCAGCGTTAGTGCTGTTTTTCTGGAGACTCAGGAAACTTGAGAGAAATTATTGAGGTGTGTGCGTGTGTGTGTGCGCATGTGCGTACATGCATGCCATGTGTGTGTGGTGTTTGCAGGGAGAGGTGGTCTTGAAGTAGAGAAATGTTTCATCCACATTTCAATCACCTGAGCCCCACAGAGGAGGGGACTGAACTCCAGACATACAGGGTCCTCAAGTCTTTGGCAAAGTAAGGGGTAGGCTCAGCCAAGGTTGAGAGAAAAGGCCCAAGCCATCCCCCTGAGCACCAGAGCCTCAGATCTTCCTTCTAGAAAGGATCCTAGACCATGCTAATGGTCAGGGACTTCAGAGGTCAATTTACCCATCCTTCTCCTTCTACTGCCAGGAATCTAAGAGGCTATGGGGTCTGGCCCTTCTCTCTCTGATAGCTGTTGCTTTCCCAGAACCCTGAGGCCCCAGAAACCCTCTACTCCCAGCCCCTGCTCATTGCAGGACCCACAGTGGGACTATGGCTCTGCACAGGGCCATTCAGTTCTCCACAGAGAGGGACTGTCCTGGAGGGGTGGCCGAGGAGGTTGCCCCAGGGCTTCTGTCCAGTCTGGCGCTGGGCCCACACTAGGGCAGAGCTCCACTGAAAGTCATGATGGGCAGGCAGAGAAGGGAGCAGAGATCAGGTGCGGCCTGGGCCGGCAGGTCAGGAGGCGTCTGGGGTGGTGAGGAGAGGTCGCTCTTCTCTGGCTTGTAGCACGGTGAGACCTCACATCTGTGCAGCAGGGCAGGGGCCAGGGATCAGAGCAGGCCCCCATCCTTCCAGCTCCTTCCAGGCCTCTGGGTTGGTGGGAGCAGAAACTGCTCCCCTCCCTAGGACCCCCCTTTCCTACCTGACTACACTCTGCAGGATCTTTCTCTCATCCTGGTCCAGGCACACAGCAAAGGGGCAGCTGTTGGAGCCGATGATCTGCACCTTGTCCACTTTGATCTGCGATGTGCTAATCTGGAAGGAAGGCCCAGGTCAGCCCCAAATCCCTGGCCATCCAACACTGCCAGCCCCTGGCAGTTCCTTTTCTCAGAACTGCCCATCCACTTCTAGGGGTGTGGGAGGGCAGGGGTTTGTCTGACTGCGCTCCAGGGTTAATGGCCAGGTCACAGGAGGGAGCCTGAGGCCTCCATCAGCCCCTGCCTCCTCTCCAGCATCTGGAAGAAGCAAGTGCCCCCTGAGGAGACATTGCCCTGCCTGCTGCCCTCACCGGAGCAGCCCCAGGTCCCCTGATCCAGAGCCTGCTTTCTTTGGTCTCAGAGTCTTAGGACTCTCCTGGCACCCACCCCACAACTTTTCCACATACACGCGTCCTCTCACAGGGCACCCCTACCTCCCCGACACCCCGCAACACTCCACACCTGTGTGCATCCCCAAATCATACCCCTCACCCTGCCTCTCCTCCCCCACCTCTCCTCTCTCTCTCACACACACACAAGTATGTACACACGGGTGTGTATGTGCACACATGCACACACATACATGTGCACACACACGTACACACATACGCACATGCACGCTCCAGTAAGTCTCTTGAGGGTATGGCTGGAAGGAGAGGGAAGCCCGTACCTGGTTAAAGCCCTTCTTGGATTTGGAGTTCTGCCTTTTCACCACTTCTGTCAGGTTTAGCGTCAGGGCCTCCATGCTGGAATCTGAGGGGCAAGGACACTCAGGCCAGGCTCAGAGCACCTCCCTACTGCACACCCCACACTGACCACCCCACTCACCCAGCTCCTCCTGCTTCCGGCAGGCCTTGTTGAGGTTCACGGAGGTACAGACCTTCTCCAGGTTGCTCCAGCGACTTCGTCCACTGATGGCCCCCTGGAAATGCAGTGTAGCCAGACCCTCTGAGTCCAGAGGCCCCGGTGCCTGCTGCCTTCTCTTTGAAGGCCCATCAGTGACAGGGGGTTGCCTCTAGTTAGCATATCCCCAGAAAGCCCTCTCTTATTCACCAGGGCCCCTGTACCACCCTGGATAGACCTGGATGACTCCAGGGAAGAGCTCACGTCACTGGCTTGGTCTAGGGGTCAGCAGCCTCTGTGACCAGGTTGAAAGGTACAAGAGCTGAGAGCACCTGCAGGGGTGGTCCTGAAGCTCTCCTGCCGGGCCCAGAGTGAAGAAGGGTTGGGCCCACAGACATGCTGTTTCTGGCAGAGCCAGACCTGAACCCCCTCTTCAAGTCTTTGTGTGAATGTCTCTGTCATCAGGGACCTCCATGTTGTTAAACCGAAGAACACTTCTTGGTCCTCAGCTTACTTGACCTTACAGTTCACTGCTCTCCCCTCCTTGAAAACCTCTCCTGGGCTTTCGTGATGGCACCTTCCTGGTTTTTCTAGCGCCTCTCTGGCTGGTGCCTCTCTGCTTTGCTGGATCGCTGCCCTCTGCCCGCCATTACATCATGAAGGGCTCAAGGTTCTCCCCTTGGTCCTCTGCTCTTTGTATTCCCTGCTTCCCCCCTTCAGGAGTCTCCTCCGTGACCTTTTTCCATTAGCAGCTGTCCACCCATCTTCATATTCACCACAAAGTCAGGCCCGTTCAGCCAGCCGTCTATTCTCACTGTCTCCTTATACCTCTCAAGGCCTCTCAACCTCAATAATATGTCCCGACCCAAACTCAAGCTCTTCCCCAACTGGACCCCGGCCTCTTCCTGTGGTCCCCCCAGAGAAGATGGTGCTGCCAGTCACAGAGGAGTGACTCCAGGAGTCTGGCCTCTCCTTTCCTAACCCATCCATGGGCCCTGCTGATTACATCACTCACATCTGTCTCCCATTCCTTTCCAGCTCTGCCACCACTACCCTAGTGCAGGCTGCTGCCCTAATTTCTCTTCTGGACCATGGCAACAGCCTCCTAACTGGCCTTCCTGCATCACTTGTGGACCCTTCCTATCTGTCCTCCACAGAGCTGCCAGAGGGAGCTTCCAAGCCTCAGATATAATCATGTCACAGGCATTCCCAGCCCCACCACAAACATAAGCCCCCTTAATGGATATCCACTGCTCTTAGGACTAGGATAAAATTCCTTTCATTGGGTCGGGCGTGGTGGCTCATGCCTGTAACCCCAGCACTTTGGGAAGCCAAGGCAGGTGGATCATGAGGTCAGGAGTTCGAGACCAGCCTGGCCAACGTGGTGAAACCCCGTCTCTACTAAAGATACAAAAAATTAGCCGGGTGTGGTGGCGGGCACCTGCTACCCAGCTACTCAGGAGGCTGAGGCAGGAGAATTGCTTGAACCAGGGAGGCGGATGTTGCAGTGAGCCAAGATTGAGCCATTGCACTCTAGCCTGAGAAACAGGGCGAGACTATGTCTCAAAAAAACAAACAAAAAACCACAAAACTCCTTTCATTGCAATTAAGGCTCTTGGTATGCTGGTCCCCCATTTCTTTAGCCTCACCTCAGCATCATGTTCCCACCAGCTGTCTCTGCTCCAGCCTGGGGGTCTTCTTTCAGAGTGCTTCAAGGTGTTCACACTGCCTCCCACCACAGGGCCTTTGCACATGCAGTTTCTGCTGCTGTGAGAGCACTCACCTCTCTTCTCAGCCTAATTAATTCCTGGTTTTCCCTCCAATATTAACTCAGGTGCCTTCTCAAGGAAGCCTTCACTACTAACTCTCCTGACTGGGTTCGGTTTGCCACTTAGGAACATCCCGTGTCCCTCTCCTCATCCATGTGTCACAGTTGTAATTTTACATCGTGTGCATCATCGAACCAATGCCTACCACCCACTCCAGGGGGCCAGCAGGTCTCCTGGGACCACGTCTGTCCTTTGTTCACTCTTAGGAAGGCTCCAGGGCCTAGAACAGTGCCTGGGCTGTGGAAGACGTCTAGCAAGCACCTGGCATGTGGCTACAGTGAGTGTCGGTGCCTCCTGCCCACCTCCTTCACTGCCAAACGCACTGCAGCCCCAACACCACCGTCCATCTGCTGTTTTATTGCTTTGTCATCACTTGCCGCTCTCTGGAATTATCTTGGCTATTTCTTTGTTTCCTCGTTTCTTGTCTGTCTCCCTCCTCTAGACAAGCTAAAGTGAGGCCTAGGCTTCCCTGCTCAACCCCTCTTTTCCCCTGCCCAGCACAGAGGCAGCATGGGCAGGTGCTAAGAGGATATCTTTGGAATGGCCGAAGGAAGAAGCCCACCTGTGAGGCCAAGCTTCCCTCAGCCTGGACCTTGGGATGCGACCTGCTCAGAGAACTCATGTCTTCTGGCATGTCATGGACAGCCCTCCACCTCCCCACAGCTCTCCTCACTCCTTTCTCACGCCAATCCCATCTTGCATGCAGCCTGCCAGGCACACTGGCCCCCCGAGACCCTGGCTTCTCCCTGAGGTGCCTCTGGAAGGCTTCCCTTTCCCCCTTTCAGCCCCAGCCCTGTAGCCAGGCCCAGCAGACCCCTACCCCTGGGCTGCTGCTGAGCGCATTCGGGTGGGGGCAGAGAACATGGTGGGAGAGAGGCTTTGGAGGCCAAGAAGCACAGAGATATCCACTCCTTCCCTTCTCTGCTTCTCTCAGCATCCAGGGGAGCCTGCTGCAGCCTTCCAGCGTAAAGACTGGGGCCCAGGAACACACGAGTCCAGCTCTGGGTCCAAGCTCTGGCGGAGGAAGTATCAGCAGCAGATCCTGGAGGGGAAGGAGCCCCAGCACGGGTCTTACCTTGCTGTAAATAATCTGTAGTGTTAGAGGAACAGCCTCCCGGTCGCCATCGATGCCCAGCCGCTTGCTGCCAGGACCTGTGCCACACACAGACAGACCCTTCACTACCCCTGGCTTCCCCGGCTCCTCACGAACGCAGTGGCCTTGCCTCCCTGGGCCTTACCTCCCCATCCCCTACCACATGGACCGTGACTCCCTAGGGATCTGTCTCACCAAGGCCCTGCCTCTCTCTCTGGCTCCACGTTCTGGGGATCTCCACCTCCTCAGTGACCCCATCACTCCAGGGCCCATCTCCGCTGTGATCACACATTCCCAGGGTCCTGCCTCTCCAGGGCCCCATCTCCGCTGTGATCACACCTTCCCAGGGTCCTGCCTCTCCAGGGCCCCATCTCCGCTGTGATCACACCTTCCCAGGGTCCTGCCTCTCCAGGGCCCCACCTCCTGGGTAACCCTGCCTCCCCAGGGCCCACCTGCTGGGTAAGCCTGCCTCCACCTGGCCCGACCTCCCATGTAACCCCCCTTCCCATGGTCCTGCCTCCCGGTAACCGTGCCTCCCCAGGGCCCTGCCTTCCAGGCAACCCCGCCTCCCCATGGCCTTGCCTCCTGGGTAACACCGCCTCCCCAGGGCCCTGCCTCGTGGGTAACTCCACCTTCCCATGGCCCTGCCTCCCGGTACCCCTGCCTCCCCAGGGCCCCACCTACCAGGCAACCCCGCCTCCCCATGGCCTCGCCTCCTGGGTAACCCCGCCCTCCCATGGCCCCACCTCCTGGGTAACCCCGCCTCCCCAGGGCCCCGCCTCCTGGGTAACTCCATCTTCCCATGGCCCTGCCTCCCGGTAACCCTGCCTCCCCAAGGCCCCACCTACCGGACAACCCCGCCTCCCCATGGCCCTGCCTCCTAGGTAACCCCGCCCCCCCATGGCCCCACCTCCTGGGTAACCCCGCCTCCCCAGGGCCCCGCCTCCCCATGGCCCTGCCTCCTAGGTAACCCCGCCCTCCCATGGCCCCACCTCCTGGGTAACCCCGCCCTCCCATGGCCCCACCTCCTGGGTAACCCCGCCCTCCCATGGCCCCGCCTCCTGGGTAACCCCGCCCTCCCATGGCCCCACCTCCTGGGTAACCCCGCCTCCCCAGGGCCCCGCCTCCTGGGTAACTCCGCCTCCCCATGGCCCTGCCTCCCGGTAACCCTGCCTCCCCAAGGCCCCACCTACCGGACAACCCCGCCTCCCCATGGCCCTGCCTCCTAGGTAACCCCGCCCTCTCATGGCCCTGCCTCCTGGGTAACCCTACCTTCCCGTGGCCCCACCTCCCGTATCCCTGCCTCCCCAGGGCCCCGCCTACCGGGTCACCCAGCCACCCCATGGCCCCACCTCCCGGTAACCCCGTCTCCCCAGGGGCCTACCTCCTGTGCAACCCCACCTTCCCATGGCCCCACCTCCCAGGTAACCCCACCTCCACAGAGCTCCACGTTTCGCGTCCCAGGCCCCGCCTCACCGTCTGTCTCTGCTCAGGCAGTACCCACCTGACGCCTTGATGGCACGTGTGGCAGCGGAGTGACCCAGCTCCAAGGAGTGGATGAAGATCTCTGTCGTCTTCTCCCCAGTGATGAAGGTCAGCTGGAGAGGGCAGGAGCATGTACATCAGTGTGAACCTCCTGGAGGGGCCCATTTGGCTCCTCCAGCATAGACCTGCTGGCTCTCCCGGGGCAGGGGTGGGGCCTTGCAGGCCCGGCAGGTGGGGAAGAGGCGGTTCGGGGCAGGGAGGCCTTACCTCGGTCTGATAGACTTGCAGCAGCACCGGTCTGGCGGCAAAGCGGCAGTAGTAGAGTAGCATGTCAGCCAGGATGGGCAGCTGGGTTGGGGAGCCCTCCAGGGCCTGGGCTTCAGCCTTCAGGGACTGCTGTGGCCAGAGGGAAGGGGCAGCCAAGCCAGATGGGTGGGTGGATAGATGGTAAGAAGGAGCAAGAATTAGGGAGGAAGAGAGAAGAGAGACATAGAGGCAGCCAGTCAGGGGGAGCTGGTGAGGTGGAAGCAGGAAGCAGGGGAGGGCCGGTGCCCAGCCTCCATGCCCCTCACCTGACCCACTGGCCTCCAGGGAGGCTTCTGGCTTAGCCAGACAAAGGCGGGAGTTGAGGAAGGGGGCTGAAATCTGAGGTCCCCCGGACCCTTCTGAGGGCCCTCCTCCATCACTGCAGTGACCCCAGCTCTCACACTCAGTGTCCTGAGTTCAGGCTCAGTCCTGCTTCTCACCCACACTCCCTGATCTTTTCCAAGAGGGCCCAGGTCCTCCATGGGGGCCTCAAGCCTGATTCCCTAAATCCAGGGCCTTCTAAGTGAGGCTGGGTGACTGCAGCCAGTGGACCCTGTTCCGCAACCACGGGGCCACTTACCTGGCACAGGACTTCAGGGGGCAGGTGCATGAGGCCCAGTACATTGCGCTCATACCAGGGGTCCAGCATGCCGAGGTAGTGGGAGATGTCATTGGTGCTCTCCTCCCATGGGGTGGTGCCCAGCTCCTAGGGCAAAGAACAAGAGTCATCATCCCAGCTCCCCAGGAGGCCTGCCCATCCTAGCTCCAGGGCCTTGGATGGCACCTGCAGCCCCATGCTGAGCTTCTCCCTGCCCTTGGGGAAGTATGACAACTTTCAGTCTTTGTCATATGGCAAAATGTCATGTCCAAGTGCAGGGAGTGAGGGCCAGGCAGGGGGAGGTGCCCTGTCAACACAGGTGCTTGCTTTCCATGACTTCCAATCGGCTTCCTTCAGGTAGCCAGAACTCTACTTTCCCCGACCATTGGCCCAGGCTGGGGACATACTCCAGGGCTGGCGTGCCTAGGGGAGTCTGTCGGGGGTGAGGGCGTCTGGCTCCGAGGGGGTGGACAGGCACCAGGGCTGGTCCCATGACTTCGCTTCACAGGCACGTAGAAGAACTGAAGTTTGAAGAACCGTGTGAGGAGTGGGCGATTGTTCTCCAGCCGCCTGGCAAGAAGAAGATGGTGAGAAGGGGAATGGGCATGGTGGCTCACGCCTGTAATCCCAGCACTTTGGGAGGCTGAGGTGGGTGGATCACCCGAGGCCAGGAGTTCAAGACCAGCCTGGTCAACAGAGGGAAACCCCATCTCTACTAAGACAAAAAAAAAAAAAAAATTAGTCAGGTGTGGTGGTGTGCACCTGTAATCCCAGCTACTCGGGAGGCTGAGGCACAAGAATCGCTTGAACTGGAGAGCCAGAGGTTGCAGTGAGCCGAGATCATGCCACTGCACTCCAGCCCGGGCAACAGAGCAAGACTCTGTCTCAAAATAATAATAATAATAATAATAATAATAATAATAATAATAATAATAAAATAAAAATAAATAAGGGAACTTTTGGTTCCTCTGGGGCCCTAAGCCTCAGGCCCCAGATTCCACCAGCACAACAACCCTGTTACCCAGGGCAGAGGGATGCTCCGCATTACGGCTCTTACCGAAGGTTGCTGTACGCCCGAGCCACCTTCCCTGAAATCCGATCGGAGCCAAAGACCACAACACGTAGCGTGGAAGCCTTGGGATCCTCATCTCCACTCAGGAAGGGGCGGCGGCGCTGGGGGCGTGAAGCAGGGGCCAGAAGCCAGCTGGGCAGCTGGGTACCGAGTTTGGGCTGGGGCAGGGAGCGGGAGCGCTGGGCCCGGGAAGGGGGTGATACTGGTTCGTCCAGGGGGCTGCAGAGGCTCCCTGCCCGCCTCAGGGGCAGGGCCGTGTCCGAGCTGCCCTCCAGGCTCCGAGAGTCCCTCCGCAGTACCAGCTGGCTGGTGCTCTTGAAGAGTTTATAGATCCTGATGAACTTCTGCCCAGGCCTGCGGTGGCCTCGGCGTTCCTGGCTGCCACGCCTCCAAGGCCACTCGGAGGAGCTCTCCTCGCTGTCCTCCACGTAGCCGCTGTCCATGCCATCAGAGAGGCCTGAGACAAAGGAAGTCAGCAGATGGCGCGAGAGGGCCGGCCCCGAGGCCTGGGAGGATGCAAGGGACAAGGTGGAGTCATGGGACGCCAAAGAGCTGGTGGAGAGCAGGGAATCTCTCTCGGCACAGTGCCCGTCAGTTTCCAAGTCCTCCTCCACCTCCTCCTCCTCCTCTTCCTCCTCTTCATCATCTCCCAGGATCCCTGGCTGGAGTAGCTCCTGTTCCTTGAGCAGGATTTCCTGCAGGATGTCTGCAGGGAAGCAAGGCCAGCACTGTCTGGGCGTCTGGGCCCCGGATCCCCTTCTATATTCCCTTTGGAGGGGAGACAGCAGGACTCAGGGCCAGCCCAGGACTCCTAGCACTGCCCCCTTGCTCTGCTTAGAGCCTGCTCATGTGGGAGAGCTTTGGGGACGGGGTGGGAGCTGCATGGACCCAGGACCAGAAACACAGCTCAGGCAGTGTGGGGCATGGGTGTCACCAGGGCCCCGGCTCCTTACCAAAGCTGTCCTGGCTCCAGCTGTAGGTGTAGCACCTGGCGACAGGGATGGGGATGGTGTGGAGCTTCCCTGGTTTTGCAGTGTCTGTAAGAACAGGGAGGATAGGAGAAGAGGGCTGGGAAGAGGCCTTGGAGATTGGCCAGTCCAGTCCCCTTGCCTTGGAGAAGAGACCAGAGATGGGACAGGATCGGCACAAGGATATGTAGCTGGATAGGCTGAGGCTGAGTTACAGCCAGGGTGCCAGGCTCCAAGCCAGAGGCCCTTCTTTCAAGCACACCATGTAGATGGCATGCCCTTTATGAGCTGTGCGAATGTGGCCAAACCACAACCTCTGAGCCTCATTTTACAATGTGCCCATGGGAGAATAATAGTACTAGCCCAGAAGGTTTTTATGAGGAATATTGTAACAGGGAATGCTAATGGTTCCTCAAAGTCTGTGCTCCCTTCTATGGTACTGGAGTCATAGAGACGATGTTTCCCAGGCTCCTTTGGGGCAAGATGTGGCCACGTGACCAAGGCGGGCTCAAAGGAACATGAGCGGAAGTGATGTGCCCAGCTTCTGCATCACCTTCAACAGAAAAGCCCAGCCTTTGCCCTCGTAAGCACTCTCTTTTCCTCTTCCCACAAGCTGCCATCATGATAGCACCCCCACCCTGCCCCTATAGACAGGAATGAGACACCCTAGGGGATGGCAGAGCAGTGAGATGCTGAAGAAGCTGAGTCCCTGAGTGACTGTGTGGAGCAGAGCCACCAGGCCCGCCTGGACCGTGCACCTTGGGACCTAGAATAGGCCATGGGGAATGTGGGAGAACCCCATTCTCCCAAGAGCCTCACCTAACACCCCAGGGAAGCCAGCTTTTTCTCCCACCGCCTGCAGCTTGGTCCTGAGCCACCGCCGGGCCTCTGCAGCATCCCCGATGCCAGATGCCAGCTCCTGTGCCTCTGCGGTCTCCGTGAAGATGTCCTCAAGCTCTGCCAGGGTCTTGGCCTGAAACCCCAGGAGGAGATGGGCTTTGCTCCTGGACCGTGAGCTAGCTGTCCACCTGTTCCAGTTGCTAGCTTCTTACTGAGGGAGGCAGTGATCTGTCCCCTCCCAGCCTCATCACCCATCTCCTACCCACAGCTGGCCAGGCAGCCAGGCCTCTCCCTGCCCTTCCATTCTCAGGAAATGGTCAGGAGAGAAAGATCCAGAGCCACGGCACTGCAGTTAGGAGGGACTTCAGCGCTCCTCACTGTACCCCATAGAGGGGAAGGAGCTGTGTGGGGTGACACAGCCGACCTGTGACACCTGTGACAGAGCCAGGCCTAGATGCCAGGTCTTCAGCCCAAAGCTCATTCTCGTTCTTATGGCATATGCCATCTTCTGAGGCACCAGTTATCAGCACCCAGTCCTACTGCCCAGGCTGCCACCCAGCTGGTTAGGATCCAGCACACCAGAAACACCCTCTATGAGGTCAGCCCTCCAGCCACCACCCTGCCATGTCACCTGGGTGCAGGAGACTAAGTGTACCCTGGAGACCGTGGCTGAGATGAAGCAGGGAGAGGGTGCTACCTCCTCAGAGAGGTGCTCCACCAGAGCCCCAGGCCCCAGGTACATACCTGTAGCCTGCAGTGCAGGCCCGGGACGTCACAGTGGGCCCCAAAGGTGGCCTGGAAGGCGTGCAGGAGCAGGGTGGTGTAGGCACTGTGAGGCGAGTGTCCGGGCGTACTCAGCTTATTGGCTACAGCAAGGAACTCGGCCTGCACTTCCACTGGGTTCAGCAGCAGCACGGTGCTGGGGACACAGGGGACCGGCTATGGCACCCAGGGGTGCGCAGCATGCCACAGTGCAGCCACCCCCCTCGTGCCTGCTGGTGCTCAGCTCCACTGAGACCAGGGCCTCCTCAAGCCCAGGCAGAGCTCGAGGAGGTGACCACAGGAGGCCAGGACAGAAGCAACAGCTCCAGGGTCCAGGTTTCCAGGGGAAAGCGTGGGGTTCACTGCTGAGCATTTTTCAGCTGTTGTTTTCAAAGATCTTTTCAAAATTGAACTTAATTCTTTAAAACTAAATTTACTTAATTTTTATATAAACGTTTTTTCCTATGAGACAGCTGAGTGGATGCAAGATTACTCAAATGAGGATCATATTTTAGGCAAGGTGACTTGAAGCCAAGCGATCAGTTTTCAGGGGGAGCTGGACAGCAACGTGGTGCTGTGCAGTGTGGTCTGGGGCGAGCGGGACATGAAATTCCTCGTGCCGTGGGGCTGCATCTGCCCGGAGGAGGGGATGCCAAGTCAGAGTGCATCTTCTTCCTGAGCTTATGAGGGACACCTTTTCTAATCAGCCCAAAGCCATGATACAGGCTTTCACTGGCTGGGAGGGGACTGTGTGCCTGGCCACTGCTACCTCCCTTCCCGATGGATACCCAGATTCCCTCTTGGTGCCAGTGTTTACATTTCTTTATTATGGAACCTTTCTCTTTTTTTTTTTTTTTTGAGACGGAGTCTTGTTCTTGTCACCCAGGCTGGAGTGCAGTGGCACGATCTCAGCTCACTGCAAGCCCCGCCTCCCGGGTTCACACCATTCTCCTGCCTCAGCCTCCCAAATAGCTGGGACTACAGGCACCCGCCACCACGCCCAGCTAACTTTTTTTTTTTTTGTATTTTTAGTAGAGACAGGGTTTCAATGTGTTAGCCAGGCTGGTCTTGAACTCCTCACCTCGTGATCCACCCGCGTCGGCCTCCCAAAGTGCTGGGATCACAGGCGTGAGCCACCGCGCCCGGCTACTATGGAAACTTTCAAACATACCCCAAATTAAAAGAATCGTGGGCTCTGAGGCGCTGATCACTCTGTTTACAGTTAACAACGCACGGCTGTTCTCACTTCCCCCATGCCAACCCCTCCATCACTGCATGACCTCGAAGCAAATTCGAGCCATGGCGGCTTTGTATCCATAAATGCTTTAGTATGAGCTGCATGTGATGAGAGCTCTTGCTCTCTCAATTCCACACTGCGTTTAAACCCAGTGCAAAGGAGCACCACGCAGGGCAGCATTCCCTCCACACTCTGGGGACGTCGGTGCCCGGGGACAGGGCAGAGACAGGACTAGTCTCTGTCAAAGTCCCCATCATTTGGGAAGAAACTCACTTTGATTTCTCTATCTGTAAGAAAAAGGAGGTGGGCTTGTATAAGCAGCCCCTTACAACCTTGTAACGAGCCCAGCCGAGCCCCTGCCCTCACCAGCTTGCATAATTTCTCTCCCGAAGAATTTATCATCATTCTCAATTTACAGATAATGAAAGTGAGACCATCTCCCAACTGTAAGCTCTTTCTACAAATCTCTCGGTGCCTCACTTCCCTTATGTGAAAAATCCCTTTCTCACGGGGTTAACGTGAGGATTAAATGAGTCAGCACATGTAACCATGCTTAGGATGGTGCCTGGAGTCCGAATAAAGGTCTAAAGGGCTTTGATGATTCTTCATCAGCCCACCTGCCCCAGCTCCCCCAGAGGAATCTTATTTACTTACTAAACTACAACATTTTAGCATCCTTTCCCTCTGTCTCAACATCTATCATTTTGTTTGTGTTTGTTTTCACCTAGAGGGAAGTCAAGAAGTGTTGCTCAGGGGAGTGAGTGGGAAGTGAACCCCTGGGGCTGGGAATGAGGAGGGCCGGGGGCCTATAATTTCTGAGGTGGTGAAGGCCGGGGTCCCTGGGCTCCCAACATGTCAAGGTGAGACAGCACCCAACTCTTCAAGGCCTGCAGAGGGTCCTCCTAATGGGCACCCCCTCTCTAGTGCTTTTCAAACTGCAGGTCAGGACACAGGAGTGGGTAATGAAATCATCTGGGGAGCCAAATTTGTTTCTTAAATGAAATAGAATAGAACAGAGCTCATCCTATGTAACCAGGATACATTTCATTTCAGCTGTGTGTGTGTGTGTGTGTGTGTGTGTGTGTGTGTGTGTTTGTGTATCAGGCTGTCATATAAAATGGATTTTTCTTATAGGTCCTGGTCAAAAAAGTTTGGAAACACTGTTTTAGTAACAGACAGAAGGAGATTGTGGAAATATCATGGGCTTCTGAATAAGCCTGAGGGTTAAATTCTGGCTCGTACCCTTGCTCGCTGTGTGACCTTGGGGAAGTTGCTTGACCTCTCTGACCTCCAGTTCCTCATCTGAAAATAATGAAAGTGGGGGAACTGTGTGCCTAACACCTGGCATAATTGATACAGACCTCTTTAAGAATCTGGTGAAAGACCGTCAGCCTAGAAAAACACACCTGGACACAAAATATCACCAGCAGTGCCAGGGGGTTCCCAGTTCCCTGGAAGCCTGTTTGTTGCTGGCTGGGGTGGACAGGGGGTGGGGGCACTGGATGTTTGAGTGGGGGAGGAGGGTGAAGGTGGAACAGTGCAGGGGTCCCAAACTCCCTCCCCACTGTTTCTCCGTCCCCCAAGAGCACTCACACGGTGGAGCTGCGGTGACTCCTGATGGGCAGGCCCTGCTCAGCCCTCACCAGTCTCTGGTAGGAGATCCCTGTGGGTCAAGAAGAAAAGAGTTCATGGGCTGATCAGTTCCTTCAGCATCGTCCGTGTGCCTCGTGGGGAGCCAAGCACTGGACAATCAGGTTGGAAATTCCCGGATGGAGCTCAGGCGAACCTGCAGAGAAGCTGTTCTGTGGACCCTCCAGGGTGCCTAGCAGTTTGCTTCTATGCGTCCTTTTACACCTCACGAGTCATATCCCCACCTCCACCTCCAACACCAAAACTCGGTCCTGGGCCTCGCTGTCCTCTGGATTCCCGTGGCCTCTCTGACTGCCCTCCCTTCCTAAGAGCTTTCCACTCCCCTTGTGGCTCAGGTCCCGGCTCCAGGCTTGGAGGCAGCCTAGCTGGAGAGAAAGAGATCCAGGGTGAGAGCCCGTGTCGGAAGCCTGAGTTCTATTCCAGCTCTTCTGCGTGGCCTTGGCCAGGTCACTTTAGCCCTGGGCCTCAGTTTCTCCTGGGAAGGGCCAGATTAGATCCGTGGCCTCTGAGGCCTTTAACAGTCTATGATTCCCAGGCCCCACCATGGCTTGACCAACTTAAAGTTTCTCTCTTCAGAGACTGGGAGGCGGAGCATCGCAGGAGGCAGAACCTGGGCCCAGGAGGCTGCCCCGTCTTGTGCCGCAGGGCTACTCCTCGGTCCCTGCCGCTGCCCCCTCTCCCGGTCCGGGGTGCCTTCCCGCTATGCCAGGCACCTCTCAGCCCATCCACTTTGCCTTAGCTCCAGCCAGGCAGTGGGTTTCGAGTTTCCCCACCTGCACCTCCCCGTCTCTGCCTGGAGTCCGGGGATCGGGAAGGACTGTGGTCTGGCCTGGCGTCCTCCGTGCTCTGAGGCATCTGCATCCCAGGCTCCTCTCCCAGCCCGCATCCCCTTTCTCCCTGGCCCTTCCCCCTCTCTGTCTCCTCTGACTTCCAAATGCTGAGAAGAAACACACCAAAGGTTTTCCTTTTGTTTCTGCAGCTTGACTCTGTTGTGCACAGTAGTCGCTTTACAGTGTGCATTCAGTTCTGTTTCCACCATGACAAGGAGATGAAACAGAAAGCGGGAGTTCACTCCCTCACAGAGCAGGGGCTGGGGACCCAGCGGGGTGGGTCGCCTTCTTGTCATAGCTTGGAAATAGGCCCAGGGCAGTCCCCATCGAGAGCAGGGCCACTCTGAACTGGGACTGAGCTGGGAACCTGCAGGACGTCCCCTCAGAAGTGCAAGTCTCGGGGGCGGGGTAGGGCGGGGGTTGGGGTTTAAAGACAGCTATAAATAGAAAGGCTGTGAGGTTCCTTTAGTAAAAGGCAGAAAATTACCACATAATGCTCTTCTAACTTGGGACCTAATTGCTTTGATTTTTGGCCTTTTGCGTGATGTTTACTTTATGTAATCATCGCATATTTAGAAGTTAACGTTTGGTCCATTTTGCCAGATAAGTCCTTGACACAGTGGCTATTACATCAGGACTTGGGACACCATCTGGTGGCCACTCACGTGCATTACAGAGAAGAGATCCTCACCCGCTCTCCAACCACCTCTACATAATACCATAGCTACCATAGCGGAGACAAACAGATATTCCCCATCTCCCTGACCATAAAACACATAGATACGCAAAATCTTCTCTTGACCTTATTTCTCTTTTCTTTTACTGTTTAATGCTTTTAACATTAACCCACACCCCGCTGACCCCATTTCTTCACCGCCACTTCTGCCTCTGTTGACCAAGGACATCCAGGCGGTCATACTCCAGGAAGCAGTAGACTCTGACGTCGCTCTCCCTCCACATCAGCTTTCTTCCAACACGCCCAGCCATTGGCTTCCAACCCCTCTGCCCTCCTGACCCTGCTCTCCTGAAGCTTGGCAACATTTTCCCCGTCCCCATACCCAACGGCCCAACCTCATCCTCACGCTGCTTGAACTTTTGTTTTGGAGTGCTTGGTACTGTTGACAACCTTCTCCTTGAAGCTCCTTCGTCTCCTCTTGTCTCTAGGATGAGGAGCAGTCTCTAACATCTATATTCGTGTGCCTTAGTCTCATTTTAGGATTGTGCTACAGTTAGAATCAGAAGCTGCTTCGTATGAGCTACGTGGACTCCACGCGACTGTTGCTCTATGTGTCCCGTTGCTTTAATGGGGGATATTTAGGAGGATACCTGTGCCTCTTGGCACACTCTGACCCAGAGAGAGTGATTTTCAGAGTTGTTTGGCTGGTGCTGAATACCCAAGGTACCAACAGTTCCCAAGCAGAACCTATGATCATCAGATAAACTCCCGCCCTCACCCCCAAAACACCATCAACCCCCTTCCTTGGCCTCTCTTGGTAATGGACCTCCCTGCTTAGCATGGGGTGTGGGGTTTTGGGGTAATTAACTGGTGGGCTGGGGCCTGAGCTGGGAACACATTAGAAAAGACTGTGCAATGTGGAGGAGGCTTTGATAATATAAGCTTTTGTACAGACTGACTCCTTTGAGCCTGGCTTAGAGATTGTACTGCCGAGTCCCCATTTGCTGGTATGTGCTGTGAGGTTGGAAATATCTCCCAGCACCCTCCATGGGCTTGGTTTTCACAATGTTACCTGGTGATGCCAGGGAGGCCATGAATGCTAAGTGGGGTGTGCAATGTCAGTTTCGAGACCACCCTTAACTCCACCCTCCACTCCCCAAACAGGGAGGCTGCACTGGGGAGCCTCAGATCCACAGACACCTCTCTCCCTTTGATCTTAGATCACACCCTTTCTTGGTCACCTTAGCAGATGGAAACAACTTTCTGAGTTTAGCTTCTTAGATCAAGATTGGTGCAAGGGCTAAACAAAAATCTTGCCTGGGTTGTTCCTACGTCAGGCTCTAGCAAGTAAGAAATTGAGAGAAGTCACCCCATACAGGCGAAGAACGGGGTGAGTGGGCAGAACACACTCATAGTGAAGTTCAAACTCCTGGCCCAGGTGTCCAAGGCCCTTCGCCATTAAGCCTTGTTCACCCATCAAAGCTTCCACTCTTTTTCAAAGTTGCAAATAGATGGGGATCCTGCACAGAACAGCAGACTGTGAAGATCCAGGACACAGGAAAATCACTACATCTGCCATCAAGCAAGCACTGGTATTAATGACACACGGATAGACAGGTCCATGCTGAGGGTGATGTGGGTACTTGAGCCTGGGGGAGGCAGGGAGCAACCACATCTGACTCAGTTTCCTCCTACAAGGGGAACACCAAGATTCCACGGAATCAACAGGGTGGAAGCAGAGCCCGGCCCCAACGGCATTGCAATCTCCAAATGAGACTAGATCAGGTTTGGTTCTCCAGCAACTATGATTAATATCAACTCATGGTGGACAGTTTGACCTACCTCATACCCTGAAGCAAACACCAGGCACACCACTCCCCACAGCAGGGTTTCTCTTACACTTCCCTCCTCACTGGGGGTCCCATGTATAGCGCCTTCCTGCTCCCCATCCCCAGGGTCCTGGACTCCAGAGAGGCTGGAGGAATTGGGGACTCATGGCTGTGGGCCTCAGCAGGGCCTGGGCAGGAAGGTGAAGCACGGATTTCAGGTGAATAAACAAAGGAGAAGACATAACAAGGGAGGCTCGGAATCTCTGGCCACCGGGAGTCCAGGAGCAGAGAGGGGGAAGGTGAGAAGGAATGTGGCTAGAAAGCCAAGAGGAAAATACTGGGGGGAAGGAACCCACTGGGCAGGCCTTCATGCAGGCAGAGGAGATGTGAGTTCTTGGAATGAAAGGCCAGTGCCACCACAAGACATATGCTGCTCTGAACAGGTGCAGTGACCCCACGGAAACGCCTGTGGGATGAGGTCTCCAGCTTTGCAGAGCCACCGGGCTTGTGGGGGCGAACTGAGATGAGACCTTTCATAACACCCTTTCACCACCCTGGTGAGAGTCACCCTAACAGGACCAATCCAGGCCTTATGGGCTACTCTTACAAGTAAGTCATATGTGGCAGAGACTTCTAGGCATCTACTCAATATCCATTCCTCGTTTTTTTATGAGTGGGACACTGGGCATTGTACCCAGTTGATGAGTCAATTTCTCAACCTCCCTTGCAGAATGTGTTAGGTGCAACCCCCCTCACCTCCTTCTTTCTGTTAACTGGAATGTGGACATGATGGCCAGCACTCCAGCAGCCATCCTAGACCAAGAAGCAACCTTGAAGATGGTGACTTTTGCCAAGGATGGTGGAGTGGAAAGATGAGGGAAGGCTGGTCCAGGATGTTCATGGGGCCACCATGCCAATGCTGGCCTGCCTTCATACAGATTGTGTGTGTGTATGTGTGTGTGTGTGGTGTGTGTGTCTGTGTGTCTGTGTGTAAAAGAAAAATAGCCCCTGAGAGTTTAAGGCATAGTTGTTTGGGGCTTTCTGCTATAGGCAGCCAGCTCAGTCCTAACTGATCACACCGTGTGGTTTCTGGAACACCTGCCTCTACTCTTTTCCCTAAACCTCCCCCACCTACTAGTCAATGATGTTTGACATCCTTCAAGAGGTCTAACCTTTCATTCCATAACCAGAGACAAAAAGTATAAAATCCAAATGTCTGTGATCAGTAATGTCCCCAGAGAAATGTAACACCACTGAAGAACATTCTGAATTCACCTGCCACCCGCTGATAAGCAAAACTGACCTAACCCAGGTTTGTTCCCCATTTGATAGGAAGTCAAAGGGTATGAAGCCATATTAAGCAACCCAAAGGGAAAGGGGCAGGAGAAATTCCCCAAGGGGGAGAGCGTTTATAAAAAGACAGCCTGGGCAACCCAGGGTCATGCAGCCATCTGTCAGTGCCTCTTGGTAGAAACACAGCTTTATGCAAATGTGAAAAGGATGGGATATGACTTTTGGTATCAAAGAGATATGGGTTCAAGTGGTAGAGCTCTTGTCAGCTATGTGACCTGGGGCAAGTTACATAAATGTCGAGCCTTCAGTTTCAGCATCTGAAAAATGGGAATAATAGTAACTACCCAGGGAGGTGTTCTGAGGGTTAGATGGGACCAACCTATGACGGTGCTTCATATGCCATAAGCAACCCTGGCATCATTGCTGTCCTCCTCGTCATCATCATCAACGATAATTATAATCCTGCTTTTGACCAGGAGGCTCAGAGAGTCTAAGGAACTTGTCCAAGGTCATTAACTAATAAGTGACGAAGTGTAGGTCTCTGTCATACAAGGGTTCGTGTTCCCTCTTTCATACTTCACTTTGTAGCTTAAACAAGAAATACTGAACTTGGTCTTCTCAAAATCATTTCCCATTTTATAATGAGAAGAATATGACTTTTCCTTCTTCCCCTACAGGCAAGGTGCAATCCTTGAGGTCTGTGTGCTTTGAAAATTGCAGAGCGGTTTGCATGTAAGATGCCCCATGTCATCCCCCAGGTTTACAGGTAAATTCTTTGCAGGAAAGTATTGTGGTCGGCACAGCTATGCAGGCATAGAGTAAATATTCAATAAACATGTGGGCTGAGCCCAAGAGGGCTGTGGTGGGCAGGACCCAGTGGCACTGACGTGAGGTTTCCTGCTACCTCCAGAATTGAGGCACTGGGCGATCATACGGGGGTGGAGTCAGGAAGCAGGGGGAGGCCCCCAGCCTTGATAACAGGCCCACTTCCTCTGCCACCCAGCCACATCAAAGCAGGATAAACTGTTTCATTCATTTCCATGGCAACTGGGTCCCTAAGACTTCACGGGGGGAGGGCCCACCTCCCCACGTCCCTTCTCATTTCTCCCTGTGACTTTACCAGGACCTACCTTCTAAGCTAACACCACTGCAACCCTTACTGCCCCCAGCACTGTGAAATCAATTAGGCCAACATTAATCCTCACTAACTGCATTGACAGGGAGGCATTGCTATACACCCATTTTACAGATGAGGAAACGGAAGCTCACAAGCTAAACGTCTTGCTGAAGGCCCACAGTTAGTAAGTAGCAGACCCAGTATTTGCAAGTACAATGGTCTGGTCCCAAGGACTAGAAGCCACTAAGTTATTCAGCCTCTCCTTCAAGCATTCAAGTTCCCTGGCCTCCATCCTAGCTCTTTCTCCACTTAACTGGGGGTGGGAGGGACTCAGGAATTGGGCAGCAGGCCTGTTGAAAATCATAGGAAAGGCTGGGCGCGGTGGCTCATGCTTGTAATCCCAGCACTTTGGGAGGCCGAGGTGGGCGGCTCACAAGGTTAGGAGTTCGAGACCAGCCTGGCCAATATGGTGAAACCCCGTCTCTACTAAAAATACAAAAATTAGCCAGGCATGGTGGTGCACGCCTGTAGTCCCAGCTACTCGGGAAGCTGAGGCAGAAGAATCGCTTGAACCCAGGAGGCAGAGGTTGCAGTGAGCCGAGGTCGTGCCACTGCATTCCAGCCTGGGTGACAGAGCGAGATTCCATCTTAAAAAAAAAAAAATCGTGCGAAAGTATTTTTCAACAAGCTCATTTAAGGGTCATGTAGAAGGTAATTTTGTTTAACTATCTGTCATTAATTAGGGCTTAGGTTCTTTAAAATTGAAGGTTAACTGGTGGATGTGAGATAAGTTGCAAGAGATTTTTGTTCAATAGAAAAGATAACCTCAAAGGTTATGGTTTTATTCCCCTCTGTGATGTTAACTATTTGGTATCTAACTTTGAGTCTTACTCTAGCTTCCATGAGGAGCTCATCTCAGTTTCTTGGATCCTCCTTTAAGCCAGCTCTATCATCGTGCTGGTTTCCTCATTAATGAGCGGGCACAGGCTCACTGTATATTTACGTATGTGTGAGGTTTTGGAACTGTTTGAAAATGATTCCCCGAAACGAGGGAGAGTTGATGGTTTCCTATTTTGGTTCTGCTTTCCCTGGAAGAGGAGAGGTTCCTGCCATGGGTACTTGGCTTGAGCTGCCCTCTTGGGGCATCTGACTTCTCCTTGGTCACCAGGATATCTGAAGCTTCACATGGTCCCGGGAAGGATGTGGAGGAAAAGGCCATCAGCAGTGAGTGATGGTTCCAAGAGTCCCCCCTGCTCTGAGGCCAAAGGACCCTCATTCTACTTCCGGCTCCAGCTGCTGCCCTGCCTGGCCCTTGTGCTGCAGGCTTCACATGTTATCATTCCAGGGCCAGGGCCTCACCACCGCCAGCACCTCCGTGGCACATCTGCTTTCTGTGCTGCCCAGAACGGAGTTTCTACCCAGCCGCCTGCAAAAATATCTCAAGGCATAGCGTGCATTGAGCTGAGGAGGGACAGCCGGTTCTACTTGAAACTGGGAAGTGGTCTCCCCACAGGTAATCCCCTCCCCCAACCCCACAACTCTCTTATCCTTTTCAAAATAAAAAAGAATCATTTCGGTCTTTGGTGGAAACCCAACGCCCTGCCAAGACATTTGCATTTTAAATTCTTTCTCTGAGCGTACTCGAAAGGAAGAAAGGCATTGCCTCCTAGCAAAGGAACTTCAGTCACCAACCAGAAGCTCAGAAGGCATTCTGATCTGTTTGTTTTGGGGGACAGTGGGAGGGAGTGTGGGAGGGAATGAAGGAGTTTGACCTTAAACTGGCGTGTTCCTTTAGGGTTTGTTCCTTTAACTGGTTTGTTCCTTTCCTTGGGAAGCTGGGTTGGCAAACCCAGCTTTTACCTTTCAGAGTCCAGCGCCTCCTAAGGGTCTTCCTGATGTCCTAAATCTCCACCCAAGTCTCTACCATGAGGTGAGGACCTTGTTATAGGTAGACTTGGGGGTTGGCCATCCCTAGCTGTACTTGCTCTGCTCTTTGTAATGACAGACAGCTGACTGATGGGGGGGCAGGTAGATCAGCTGATTGGGCGAGGCACAGACAGGTCAGCTGACTGGGTGGGGCGCAGACAGATCAGGTAACTGGTTGGGTAGGAAAGTTATGAACACTTCCAAAGAAATTTACAAGCCAGTCTTGAGCTTTCTAGGGTCCATAAGTTGTTGGGGAATAAGATTTGGTACTTCTGTTCTGTGTGTGTTTAATGTGTAAGGTGAGAATTAAACGCTGCCAGTACTAAACAGGACCTGGTGCATGTATACATTAGAAAGAGAGAAAACAAAAATGGGATTATAACATACTTAGTATTGGGGGGACTGCTTTTTCGCTCAACTAGTTATTCAACATCTTTTGAGCTCAGTAACTATTTCTACAATATCATTTTTAATAATTGAATATCATTCCACCAAATGACTTTGCCGCAGTATACTCAACCATGTTCAATATTTAGGTTTTTTGGCATTGGTTGATTATTAGCAAGGATGCGTTGATGAACGTCTTTGTTTTGTAGCTACATCTTTGTACATCCATAGGGATTCATCAGGATAAAATTGAGGAATGGAATTGCTGGGTGAAAGGGTATGCTTTCTGATGCTTTAGCAAACACAGCCCCCCATTCCTCACCAGCGCTGGCATTTTTGTTCTTTCTTTTTAATTTTTGCCAATTTGATAGGGGGGGAAGAAGAGTCTTGCTCTTTAGTTTTGCATTTTCTTTATGAGTAGTGAGGGTGAATATTTTGGGGGGTTCTTTTTGATGTACTTGAATCATATTTATTCATATTTCCATAAGTGTATTTGCCTATTTCTTAATGGACTAAAAAAAAAACCTCTTCATGGGTTTGATATATTAATTTTTTTTTTTTTTTTTTTTTTTTTTAGATGGAGTCTCGCTTTGTCTGCAGGCTGGAGTGCAATGGCACGATCTTGACTCACTGCAACCTCTGCCTCCCAGGTTCAAGCGATTCTCTGCCTCAGCCTCCCGAGTAGCTGGGACTACAGGTGTATGCCACCACGCCCAAATAATTTTTGTATTTTTAGTAGAGACGGGTTTCACCATGTTGGCCAGGATGGTCTCGATCTCCAGACCTCATGATCTGCCCACCTCGGCCTCCCAAAATGCTGGGATTACAGGTCTGAGCCACAGCACTTGGCCTGATATATTAATTTTTATTGCAAATATTTTTCTCAGTTTGTCATTTACCTTTCACTCAAAGTGGGCTTGCCATATGAAAAGCTTTAAATTTTATGCTTTCATATCTGTTAGTCTTTTCCTTTATAATTTTTGCCCTGGGGAATATGTTTGGCAGCTCTTCTCCACTCCAGGCTAATACAACCTATTTTTCTTCTGTAGTTTTTGTGGTCTTGTCTTCTACACCTAAACCTTTAATGTATCTAAAAGTTATTTTTATGTTTGCATTAGAACTCTTAATTTTATTTTTTAGATAGAATTTTTTTTTTTTTTTGAGACAGAGTTTCGCTCTTGTTGCCCAGGCTGGAGTGCAATGGTGTGATCTCGGAGGCACTTGAACCTCCACCTCCTGGGTTCAAGTGATTCTCCTGCCTCAGCCTCCTGAGTAGCTGGGATTACAGGCTCATGCCACCACACTCAGCTAATTTTCTATTTTTAGTAGAGATGGGGTTTCACCATATTGGTCAGGCTGGTCTCGAACTCCTGACCTCAGGTGATCTGCCCGCCTTGGCGTCCCAAAGTGCTGGGATTACAGGCATGAGCCACCACACCTGGCCTTTTTAGATAGTCTTCTAACTCAATATTTTTTATGGTCTACCAATTATCCTGATATCATCTATGAAATGACTGATTTTTTCATCAGTAATTTGAGGATGCCACTTTGTCATATAATATAATTTTGTATATTTAATATATTTCTAGATATTACATCTTCTTCCATTATCTATCTATTCTTATACCCATAGTGTACTATTTTAATAACTATAGCCCTATAGTACCTTCAAAAAATGGAAATATTTCCTTCTTACTCTCCTTTAAAAATACATGAATGAATATATACTAAGTGCATAAATAAATCTTTCAAATAGATTTTTTTATTTTCTTTATATATAAATTTATTTATTTGTAAAATATTTATATATTATGTTTTTTAGTTTACATATATTTTATAAATTTTAAAAATATCTTGGTATTTTGATTGTGGTTACGTTTACTTTCCTAACACCTGGTCTCGTTACAATATTGATTCAACCCAGCAATACGATTCTTCAATTATTCATTCTTCAGCAAAGTTTGTTTTCTCTATATAGGTTATTAAAATTTCTTTTATTTTTTATTTTTAATTGCTATTGTAAATTTTTTAAAATTATGTTTTCTCACTGGTTAATGCTGGTTTATAAAAAAAGCTCTTAGCTACCTGTTTTCTAGTTCTGACAATTCTTTGTTCAGGGGATTCTCTCAGTCTCGACAGAAAACCAATTGTTTGAGCTCCAACTAATTAAAATTTCTCTTCTTCAGAAGAGAAAGTATTCTTTATTTTTGTCTTTTTGCATAGGCAAATACCTATAAGCCAAAAGAGGAAGATTATTGGCTCTAAAGAACATGCCTCTAGTATTTTACCTTGGGCTGTTGCCATATTAAAAGCACTTCTAGAGTAATCGTTTCCATATATTGAGGGGTTTTGAATATCAGGAATGATGATGAATTTTATGAAATATTTTAGAGGCATCTATTGAGATGCTTTTGCGAATTTATTCCTTTGAGTACTGATTCGCTGAGCCGCTTCTCAGTAAATCACACTTGCTAAGTTTTCTCCTGCACTACTGTAGCTTCCTTAGACCTGATTTGCATGTCTATGACAGCACCTGCAATTTCTGAAGAATTCTTACTTTTCAGACCCCACACATGAAAACTGAGTCCCGGGTCTTGTCCACATTTGTCACAGTGGTCATTGTTCCTAGTACCAGCCACCTTCCCCAACCCAAACTGCATCAACCCACACACACAATTACCTACTTGTTCCTGGGGCACAGAGAACATGCAAAGCCCTCTTGTCAGCATCCTGGGGGCTTCTCTGTCTGATCTGGGTAGCCTTGGAGACCCCTTGACTAACCAGATCAGAGGCACAGGCCAAGGTGGGGTCTCCTTGCCCTGAGTGCCTGCTCCTACTTCCCCTAACAATCCCTCCTCGAGTTACCTCCCATATTTACTTTCATCTTGTGTGGATTCAACCATCAGATGCTTGATGGTGCTGTGAAGAGGAGACTCCATGTTTGTGAACCAAGGCGTTGGCAGAGATGAATCAAAGGATGCAAGGTAAGGAGGGTCACAAAAAACAGTTTCAGAGGAGTTGGAAGCATTCTGACCTTCTGAGCCCTGTCCCCCGTGCCAGCTGCCTCAGTGCTTACCTGGGGCCTTGAGTTCAGCATCAATGAAGGTGAGCAGCTCCTGGCAGATGCTGCAGTAAGGAACAGGCCAGGTCAGGAACCGGTGGTAGGTGCTGGCTGCCTTCAGAAGGAGATCCGAGTCTGGTGGGAAGTGTGGTGTCTAGGATGGAGGCAGGCAACAAGCAAAGAGATCTAGGTGAGAAAAGGCTCAGATAGTCCCAGACAGCTTCTGCTCCCTTTCTGGAATATTCCACAAAAGACACACATTTCCTGGCCGCAGCGTGTCCCAGGACAAGGTCAGGTGGAACTGGAAGTTACTCACAGGGAGTGGGTTACAGATGGGCAAGATGGCACCCAGGGTGTCTCTACTGGGAGGGACTTGCTTTACCCAATGCTTGAGTGAGCCTCTCTGAAAGGCTGTCCCCTTACTGGTAAATGGTGCCATTGCTGACACTTGTTATGGATAATGGTCTTCAATGCCTAAACCACCTTTACTTAAATAGCCTCATTACAGGTAAATGTTTATTTTTTGAGGATGGATTCAGTCAGTGTACACATTTGATGCCCCCCTGTCTGGTGAATACAGGGGGTGATCACATTGGGTGAAACCGACTACTGGGGTGAAAAATGAGGTGGACATAGAATATCTCTTGTGGCCTGTGAACAGACAGTGACAGCAGTTCCAACATGGGAGCCCAGAGATGCCAGGCACCATGGCGGCCACATGGAGTCACCAGAAGCCTCTCATGGTGGCTGCTCTGAAGCCATCTAAGGGTTGAAACCCATTTCACATGCCGCTGCTTGACAGTTTCTCTCTCTGCTTATCTCCAGAGGTGTGAGGGCTCTGCCCCAGATAGAGGTCGCTCCTCCCCCTCCTCCCTCACCTCCAGCATCCTGGCCCACGTGGACTTACACAAAGAACAGTGGAATAGAAGAGCAGGGCCAGCGGGGTGAGCAGGTCGTAGGTGCCCTTCTCCTGGACCTGTGGAGAGGAGGAGAAGGGGAATGAGCCTCATTCACGGGGTCCAGGGCTCCCTGAGGCAGAATACAGTGGTTCTTCCTCATTCTAGCCTTTCTTTTTTTTTTTTTTTTAGGGGAAAATAGTGCAATCACATGACAAACATTTGGAAAATGGATGTAAACGAAAACACTTACAATTTCCCCTCCCAAACCCAACCACAGCTGTTTCAATGTCCCTCTTCTGATGCCATTTTTGCCCTATGTATTTTCTTTTCTTTGTTTTTAAATTTTATTTTAAGTTCTGGGATACATGTGCAGAACGGGCAGGTTTGTTACATAGGTATACATGTGCCATGGTGGTTTGCTGCACCCATCAACCTGTCATCTAGGTTTTAAGCCCCACATGCATTAGGTATTTGTCCTAATGCTCTCCCTCCCCTTGTCCCCCATCCCCGACAGGCCCCGGTGTGTGATGTCCCCTCCCTGTGTCCATGTGTTCTCATTGTTCAAATCCCACTTATGAGTGAGAACATGCGGTGTTTGGTTTTCTGTTCCTGTGTCTGCGAAGCTATAAGCTGTGTGTATATTTTTACTCCTAACGTATTTTACATATAGTATTATAAGTAAATTTCTGTTTTACTATACGGTCTCTAAGACCACCTTTTTTCCCTTCTGGTTATACATTTACCTGTTATTTGTGTTATAAATATTTTTTTCCAGTTGGTTGTTTGCCTTTTAATTTTATAAATATTTTTGATGTACAGAAATTACAGGTGTTGATTTTTCCTTCATGGATTTTTGCTTTTGCATGCAAGGATCATGTAAATATTCATATATACTTTCTTATCTTCTTTGAAGCTTCGTTTTCTGAAATTGAAATATTTAGTCTGGGCCCAGTGGCTCATGCTTGTAATCTCAACACTTTGGGAGGCCGAGGCAGGTGGATCACTTGAGGCCAGGAGTTCGAGACCAGCCTGACCAACATGGCAAAACCCCATCTGTACTAAAAATACAAAAATTAGCTGGGCACAGTGGCGCACACCTGTAATCCCAACTACTCGGGAGGCTGAGACTCTGTCTCCAAAAAAAAAGGAGAAATATTTAGTGCAACTAGAATTTCACCTGCTATATGGTGTCAGTTGGGGATCTCACTCTATCTTTTTCCAAATGTTTAGTCAATTTTCCCTAAGCCATTTAATAAATCTTATGATGTAATTGTATCATATATTAAATTTTATTTATGCCCTTGGATAATATCCATCATTTTTAGCTGCATTATACTCCTTCTGGTAGACCTCCATAACTTATTAGTTTCTTTTTCTTTTTTGAGATGGAGTCTCGCTCTGTCGCCAGGCTGGAGTGCAGTGGTGCAATATCGGCTCACTGCAACCTCCGCCTCCTGGGTTCAACCAATTCTTGTGCCTCAGCCTCCCAAGTAGGTGGGATTACAAGCACGTGCCACCATACCCAGCTAATTTTTGTATTTTTTTTTTTTTTAGTAGAGATGGGGTCTCACCATGTTGGCCAGGATGGTCTTGATCTCCAGACCTCATGATCCGCCCGCCTTGGCTTCCCAAAGTGCTGGGATTACAGGCGTGAGCCACCATGCCTGGCATCTTATTAGTTTCATTGTGGACATTCAAGATTATTTTCTTGGTATTTTACATATTTTGCAATGAACACTACTATGCAGCACATTCCTTTTTCCATAATTTGGATTATTAATCTAGAAAGGAGTTCAAGAAGTGGAGTCAACAGATCAAAGATTATCAACATGTTTATAGACTTTTATGACCTTTGAGACATATTGTCATATTGCTTTCCAAAAGGATTTTGCCATTTATACTATCTATATATATAAAAGTACGATTTTCACCATGCTTTTCCTGCATTGGTTTTTATCTTTTTTTAACAAAAAAAAAAAAAAAGAGAGAGAGAGAGAGAAATAGGGTCTTGCTCTGTCGCACAGGCTGGAGTGCAGTGGCACGATCTTGGCTCACTGCAGCCTTGACCTCCTGGGCTCAAGCAATCCTGCCTCAGCCTCCCAAGTAGCTGAGATTACAGGTGTGCACCACCACAACTGGCTAGTTTTTGTATTTTTTTGTAGAGACGAGGTCTTGCTATGTTGCCCAGGCTGGTCTTGAACTCCTGGGCTCAAGGATTTCTCCCACCTGAGTCTCTCAAAGTGCTTAGATTACAGGCACAAGCCACTGTACCTGGCCTTACCTTTTGTTTTTTAGCTAATTTGTTAGGCAAAGTTTGTCTCATTATGGTTTTAATTTGCATTTATTTTAGTATCGCTTTTTCATATTTGTTTACAACTTCTATTTCTCCTTTTGTGAACTGCCTCTCTGATACAACCTACCACACCACATGCACACATGTGCACACCACATGATTTAGAATTCATTGGTCAGAAGGTTTCTCGGTCCATTTTGGAACTCATGGGGGTTGGAGATACAGAGAAAGCCCCATCATGTCTTCTCTGCTAGATGAGCCCAGTAGGCTCAAATTTAGAATCTTCCTTCTCTTTATCCTTAATAGACAATGTGTCTACCAAGCCTTGCAGATCAGACCTTTCTATGAAACCCTCCTCTTTTGCTACACGGTGATCCAGACTTTCCATTTGGGTTTATATGTTATGCGCTCCAGAGGTGGTTCAGCTCTTCTGAGCTGGTTGGCTTATGATGAAGGAAAAAACTACCAGGTAAATAGTGGGGCCAGAACTGTAACCTTGGGCATCTTCTTACAGGGATAGGTAGCCGAGAGTGAAAGTGACATGTTTTCCAAATCACATGTATTTAAAATAATTAAAACACACACACACACACACACACACACACACACACACACACACAACCATAAAAGAGAATTCTTTACAAAAGAGCCCAAATCCTCTTTTGGGACTCACAGCTATTCTGGAACCCAAGCCCAGCTCAGCACTAAACCCATTCCTCTTCTTTGTCATGAAGCCATTGACTGAACTAAGAGAGGAGGCCTCAGTTTACCTTTCCGATCAGTTTTCTCTTTCCTGTCTTTGTTTTTATGGATCTTTTTGAGGAAAGGAATTGGGTAAAGTGTCTTCTCCCTTCCTAGTCTATATCTGGACTTATAAGCCATGTCTGTAGCTGAACTCAGGACCCTAGCTCGCGTATGATGTGTTCTTACTGAATGCACCCCCTTCTTAGAAACCTCTCATATGCAAGTGCTACCGAAACACAAAACTCACAGGTTCCCAGGGCCTTTGCCCAGCCCCTCTGGAGGTCCAGGCACCCAGGAATGATGTTCTCTGGGACCTATTTCTCCACTCTACGAGGCCGACCCCAGATCTGCCCTTCAATTCCTGACTCCCCCTCACCTCTCGGGTCTTCTGCAGGATCTGCTCAAGGAGGATAAGGAAGTGGCCCGGGTCCCTGCTGACCAGCTCCTGCAGGCTCCAGCAGTTCAGACACAGCCCAGCTGGAAAAGGAGAGAGAGGCAAGGGGTCAGTTCTGGTGTCTTCCAGTCACACTCAGGCAGGGGCTGTAAAGAAGGGGCATTTATGCTGGAACATTTTTCTGTGGTATTGCACTGGAACACTCTTTTTTTTTTTTGAGACAGAGTCTTGCTCTGTCGCCAGGCTGGAGTGCAGTGGTGCGATCTCAGCTCACTGCAACCTCTGCCTCCCGGGTTCAAGCGATTCCCCTGCCTCAGCCTCCCAAGTAGCTGGGATTACAGGCACGTGCCACCGCACCCAGCTAATTTTTGTATTTTAGTAGAGATGGGGTTTCACCATGTTGGCCAAGATGGTCTCGATCTCCTGACCTCGTGATCCGCCCGCCTCGGACTCCCAAAGTGCTGGGATTATAGGCGTGAGCCACTGCACCCGGCCTGGAACACTCCTTTCTAAAGTAAGTGAATCTAGGAGAAGATGCTGGATCAACACTCAACCCTACCATGCCCCATCAAGACATAATGACAAATTCCCTGTTCCTGCATATGCAAGAGACACAGGGATTGGAGATGCAGGCTGGGAAGCCCTTTAGAGGACAATGAGCTCACTATGACTCCGCTCCCTGTGGAAGCACCAGTTCTCCCACAACCTCTCCTGCCCTGGTTTCCTACAGTGGGTTCTGGTACCTATGAGTTGCAGGGAGGTTAGAACAGAGGCAGAAATTGCTGGAAGAATACAGAGAGGAGCCACGGTGAGTTCCATCCCAAGACGCAAGACTGAGTCTACAGCAGCCATGGAGCTTCCCAGGAATGGCAATGGAGCCCAGGAAGGGGAAGCTAAACGAGTTCTATTTTAAAAGCTGCCATGAGCACTTTGTCACTCTGTAACTTCCCCAGACTTTCTTATTTTGTCAGTCTCTGTTTCCCTGCAGTCAGCAAGGGTAAACCCCTAAAAATTAAAGCGACAGCCTGGGGCAGAGGAGCAGGGAGGGGCTGTGTGTATGTGTGTGTGGAGTGGGGAGTGAGAGCCGCAGGAGTGGAAATGGATTGAACTTGAACTTCGTGGAGCTCAAGCTCCAGGACCTCTCACGTGTACAGGCTCCTTCCAAAGTTCTAGAGGCTTCTAACAATGTGTCCATGTGGTCACAGGTTGTCAGAAAATTTGCAAAGGTCAGATATTTTTATATTCTTTTGCTTAACGATAGCCCTCTCCCCAGCCCTATGAGCTTAGCCTCCATCAAAACCTGGGTAGCAGGCAAGAAAGAAAACTACCATTTATTGACCACCTACTATGTGCCAATACAGTGCTAGGCCTCTGAATACATTATCTTCATTGAGGATCCCACTGTCCCTTCAGAAAAGTGGTTCCATTGTTATTATTCCCATTTTGCAGACAAGGCAAGTAGAGCCAGGGTCCTGGGAGGATAAGTGGCCTGCGCAGGGTTGTAAAGCCAATGGGAGATAGCTTTAATCCAGGTCTGTCTCATTCCAAAGGCCAAGGACAGCCTCTCAGAGGAAGCGACATTTGAGCTGAGACCTGGATGAGAAGGAGCCAGCTATGTGTACTTCCCAGGGAAGAGTTCCAGGCAGCAGGTGCAAAGGTGCTGAGGTACGGAGGGACCAGGTATGTTCAAGGAGCACTGGGTGGCTACTCACGGAGAAGTTAGGGAGGCCAGTGAGATATGGGGCATGAGAAAGCTCTACAAGCATAAGAATTATTACAGCCAGGCGCCAGCCTTCAGAGACGCAACTGCCCGGGACTGCGGACACCCTGTTTTTTAGTCCTGGGAGGTGGGAAACATAGAGGCCTCCTGCTCTCTGCAGCTCTGCTGAGTTTTCCCTTATTCTATAGGGAAGAGGAGGATAGGACTATGAGGGAACTAGAAACAAACAAACAGGAGAATTCTGGGGAGAGCTGCCTGTGAATTCCCAGCTGCTTTTTCAGAATCAGCAGTTGTGGTTTTCTAAGCAGATTCGATGGATTCTTCCAGAAGTAAAAGGCAGCCAGCCCTGAGTAGGATGAGGAAGATGCCGTGGGAGAAGGGAGAAAGTGCCAGACACTGAGGTCTGACTACATCAAGTGCTGCGCCAGGCACCTGCCCAGGAGAAGGCTGAGGCTTGCCCAAGTCACACAGACAGGGTTTCACCTAGAATTTGCCAGTTTCCATGCCTGGTCCAGTGCCCACCGTGGCCCCTGAGGCTTCCTTGAGCCCTCAAACACCTCCCCGGCTCCCTTGGACCGACCTGACCAGGAGGTGGAGCGGCGGCTGAGGCTGAGTCCATGCAGGCAGCGTTCCAGGGCATGCTGGATGCGGTCCTCCGTGCATGTCGTGGCCCCTGGCTGCATCCTGGGTCATCGCCTGCATGGGGGACAGACGCCGGTCAGCTTGTCGAGCTCCTTTCCCAGAGAGCACCTGGTCCAGTAAAGACAACAGGTGCTCACAGTGCAGCGCGATCAGCCCAGCCCAGCTATAGCTCAGGTGCTGTGGAAACAGGACCAGGGGCCTTACAGCTGCCTCCAGGGTAGGAATGGCATCTGGAGGGCCACATCTGAGTGGCAGGACAGAGCACCCCTGCAGCAGAACGGGACAGAGGTGTGGGAAGTAAGGGGTCAGGAATGGGAGCAGAGAGGTGGAAAGGGCACTGGGCAGTGGGAAGTGTCGCCAAGTACCCAGGGAGTGGTCAGACCCCAGTGGGCTGGGCAGGAAGATCCTGAGGGGAAAATCAGAATCACTCGGAGGACTTTTTCTGAATTTCCAGGCTGTGTTTTCCAAACCTCCAGGGATGGGGCAGAGAGCGTGTTCCTGATGACAAGGCCACAGCAACTCCCTCAATATGCTTGGAGGGAGCTCCCTCTGATTGGGTGCCCAGGTCACAGGCATCTGTTTCCTTTCTGCCCTAACCTCCACTTTTGCCATTTTTCTTTCCTTCCCCTGGGGCTTGGCAATGTTACCTGTCATTCAAAGACCTTCCCTGCCCTCCTTCCTCATCCTACTGAGGAGAATCCAAGGGGTGCTTAGCTGAGCTGGAAAGTCACTGAAGAGGGAATTTCAGGAGGGTTTTAGCCCCGTATGGGGAACTGAGAGCCCCCAGCAGGGCCAGCCCAGCTTCTTAGTTATGTATGAGGGCTCCTGGGTCTCTGGGGAAGCCACGGAAGGTGATTTGGCCCAGTGATTAAGCTTGGCTCTGGCATCCGACGGACTTACACTCAAACCTGGACTCTGATATTTGCTAGCCATGTGACTTTGGGCAAATACTTTAACTTTTCCAAACTTCTGTTGACTTATCTGTAAAATGGGATGACAATGGTGCTAACCTCATGGGGCTCTTGGGAAGATAAAATGCTGTAGCAGATGCGCTGAGTAAGCTTCCAACACGCGAGAGCTGCCCTGCTACAGTCATTGCCATCATCGCCCTGGCCTCAGGGGATGCCACTGCACTCACTCCTTCCGGGCAGACCCCTTCACTGGCCAGTCAGGCCAGGCCATAGAGGGATGCTGAGAAAGCTGCAGTTCAGCTCTGGAAGCCAGAAGAGGAAGCACAGAGCTCAGAGCTGAGCCATGCAGATGACATACAAAGAGGGATAAAATCCTAACCTGGGTTCAGCTGCGCGGCTAGAGTATTCAGCTTACGGAGGCCCCACACAGGCAAATCCTCCTGCCTCCCCAGCCTGGGAGGCACCACTCGCCAAGTGAAAACTAAGCCCTTTGTGAGCTCTCCAGCATCCTTTCACAGTGTCTGTGGTAGGCTATGCATTCCAAAGCCGGACAGTGCAGCAGTGGGCACGCAGGAAGCGGCACACGCACCTTGGTTCCATCACGGGTTCACTGACTGTCTGCCATGTGCCAGGCACTAGAGGAGACTAGAGGAGACAGCAGTGAACCAAGCAGCTGTGCTCCTTGGTGGGAGACACAGACACTGAGCAATGGAGCAAACAAAGACGTGATTCCAAGAAGTGAAACATGCTGTAAAGGATGGTGCTGGGAGTGGGACAAGTGGGGACCCCCCTCCAGGGTGTTGGGGGGTCAGGGAGGCCTCTCTGAAGAAGGGACATTTAAGCTGGATGAGGAAGCCAGGGCAAATGAGGGGGAAGAGTATTGGAGAAAGGGGAGCCAGCCCATGCCACAGTCTGGGTGCAGGAATTAGCTTGCTGAGAACCTGGACCCAGGAGTATATGCCAGGGCGCCGGGCTGGCCCAGGACAAAGACTAACCCATTAGGTCCCATGCCTTCTGGCTGTGGAGGTGAAGAGCTGAGTTCAGAAAACTTTTCACGGGTGGCTGGGTGCGGTGGCTCATGCCCGTAATCCCAGCACTTTGGGAGGCCAAGGTGGGCGGATCACTTGAGGTCAGGATTTCGAATCCAGCCTGGCCAACATCTTGAAACCCCATCTCTACTAAAAAATATTTTAAAACATTAGCCAGGCGTGGTGGCAGGCACCTGTAATCCCAGTTACCCGGGAGGCTGAGGCAGGAGACTCGCTTGAACCCGGGAGGCGGAGGTTGCAGTAAGTCGAGATCACACCGCTGCACCCCAGCCTGGGTGACAGAGCGAGATTCCATCTCAAAAAGAAAACAAAAAGAAGAAAACCTTTCATTGGTGACTCAAGACCTTGGGTGTGTCCATTAGCAGCACCTGGATGCCCAAAGACATCCTGAGGCCCTTCCATGTGACTTTTACAGTTGCCTTTGGATCTTCTGTTTAACACCTCCACAGGTAGCTCAGGTCGTGAGTCCACTGACCCTGAGCCAGACCGGGCAGACCCCTCCCTGACCTGGGATTGTGCTGGCACCTGGCATGGATGAGCATCTGTGGGGACTGACACCTGTGATGAGGCCTCATCTTTCTGCCTCCCATGGCAGCCCGACCACAAGACCCTCTGGAGGTGGGTCCTATTCCAGCTCAGGGCTAACGGCACCTGCTGGAGGAGGTAGAACACCAGACACCTTCACATGGATGAGCCTGGGGCATGAACAGCTGGCCCAGATGTGACAGCGACCCTTTGTTCTCACAGGCTGATTTCTCCCAGGTTACCCCCAGAGCAGGTTCTTGGAGGGAGCTCAGAGGCCTCCCCAGCAAGTCCCTCATTTTACAGAAGGGGAGGCTGAGGTCCAGGAAGGATAAGGGACTTGTTCGAGGCAGCTGGGAGAGAGTTGACACTGGTATAAACAGACAAGGGGATCAGGGAGGACTTTTTATTTTCAAATTGTGGCTGAGACCCAATTCTAGGGACAAAAGTTGCTAAATCCTCTGCATTCTAAAGTTCTAAGAGCCACGGAGTATTGTCAAGGACGTGGGCGCAGCCACTCTGGTGGGCTTGCTGGGAGGTGTCAGTCCAGAACCAGCACAGTGACCCGCCAATCCCTGTCATAAGATTGGGAAGAGAAAAAGGGTTGTCAGCCCATCTGGAAGATCCTTCCTTCTCTCCGCAAAGCTGAGGGCAGAGGGCTTTCAGAGAAGTCCTGACACAGACTGGGATGCCCAAAGCTGAGGATGCTGCCCTTTGTTCCTCGGGTCACTATCTACTCAGCCGGCAAACTCGCTCGCCTGCTCCGGTGCTGCCTGTGAGCCATGGCAGGGCTGAGACAAGGGGCAGAGGGGGCATCTTGCAGACCCACTGTTGGACAAGTCAGCAGCTCCAGATTGGGGTGAGGGGTGGAACAAACGTGGGGCCTGAGCCGGTTTGTTGTTACTTTTCTAGAGGGCTGCCAGCAGCATGAGGGAAACCTATCAGAAGGAGGCTGAAGGCTGGACCAATTTTGTAGGAAGCTGGATGGGGCAGGTTAAAGATGGGAAATTGGTGGCACAGAGAGGTTAAACAGCTTGCCTAAAGTCACACAGCTAGGAGATGGCAAAGCCAGGGTATAAACCCAGGGGGTCTGGGGTTTCAACCACTAGAATACATTGCCCCTCAGCACAGTCGGAGGCAGTTACTGGAAGAAAATTAAAACCAATTCATGTTTCTACTTCAACAAGTGAAGACTTGATTTTGCTTTAAGAGGTAGGCTAGGCATGTCTGTAATCCCAGCAATTTGGGAGGCTGAGGCGGGTGGATCACCTGAGGTCAGGAGTTTGAGACCAGCCTGGCCAACATGGGGAAACCCTGTCTCTACTAAAAATACAAAAAATTAGCTGGGTGTGGTGGTGCACACCTGTAATCACAGCTACTCGGGAGGCTGAGGCATGAGAATGGCTTGAACCCGGGAGGTGGAGGTTGCGGTGAGCCAAGATCATGCCAGCCTGGGTGACAGAGCAAGACTCTGTCTCAAAAAAAAAAAAAAAAGAAAATCTAGACTCTCAGTTGCTGGGGATTGTGAGCCCCACCACATCTATCTACACCAGCTGCCCCGCACAGCCCTGCATCCTCCAGAGAAAAGGCCAAGGCTCACAGGAGTGTGTGCCAGAGGGGATACCGAGCAACACTCTCTCGGACTCCACCGGTGATGACCGTGGTGGCTCACGGGGCCCAGGCGTCTCTAGCCTGGAGCATGTCCTGAACCGTGTGATCTGGGTTTTAAGACCCCTCTGCCCAGCCCCTGCTGCGATGGCCAAGCTGGTTATGCCATGAAGCAGGAGTGAGTCATCCTGCTCACTCATTACGTGTCCCACACTGTAATGGATGCAAACACAAGATGCAAATGAATGTTCTCAGCCAACACCACTTCTGCACACTCCTGTCCTTAAGGGGGCAGAACACAGTGCCATAGGACTGCTGCTAGCACACCGCACCCAATGCCTGACTGCCCATGGCTTCTCTTTCTCATTCTGGGGCCGCCTGTGACTTTCCCATCTCCTGGCCTCGGTGTGCCCCTTCCCCCCAACCCCACCCTGCTCAAGGGACACATCAAAGCCTTCTCCACGGAAGGGCAGGATATCCTCAGGCACTGGTGGAATTCTGGTGTGCCAGCCTCCCCGGCATTCCAAGGCTTTCTCGAGCTCGCCCCAAGTTCTTCTCAGAGGCAGGACTTGCCTGAGCCACTAGCCCCTGGGAGCCTGAGAGATGGGGAGAGGGAACCCAGCCAGGGGACCCTCAGCTGAGCTGCCCTGGGGGTTAACCCAGCACACCGGGCTCACCACCCACCCCTTTGACACGCTCATTTCCGTCTGAGTCAGTCATCAGCTGTTTCTTATGACTTGTCAGCAGAACCTCACGGCTTTGGGGCAGAGGTGAGGGGGGAAGACAGTGGCACCCGCTCTCCCAGCATGACGCCTTTTTTCAAAAGCTGGGCAAGCAGGGCCTGGCTTCCCTGGCATCACCCTCCCAAGCCCCCTCCCTATCTTGTTGAGAGGAGCTCCCATTGTAAAATTCCAGCTGCTGCCGGGAATGCCGCCCCCCGCCCCCCCGCCCCCGCCACCAATTCCCCTGCCAGTGGTGAGGTGGTGTTGAAATATCCAACAACAGGGCCTTCCCCCATCTCCAAGTTCCTCTTCTGAGCCAGCAAAGAGGACTCATAGTCCTTGCTGGGGACCCTGCATGGGGCAGAAAGGCCTGGAGTCGGGGTGGGTTGGTGGGACCCCAGAGGGCACAGAGAGAGCCAGTCCTGCTTCCACTTTTTCTTCCCATGTTGACAGGATGCCATGATGTGGAGGGCTCATCTTCCCTCTGGTGCAGGGCTGGTCAGAGGAGGTGTAGGGTCTGCCTGGGTCCAGCTTCCCAAGGCAGCCCACGATGGGGCAGGGAGGAGAGCCTCTTGGGGGTTTCTAAATAGTAATGAAAGGAGGAGTTAGAGGGCCTGCATCTCATATGGAGGGGGCCTCCAGGTTCTGGCTGGCTCTCCACACTGCTTTCCTGGTGTTCTGGAATATTCTAGGCCCATGCAGTCCTGGGCTGACCCAGCCTGCTTCCGTCCTGGATGACTCCTCCCTCTCCTGCTTCTTACCTTCCGAGGCTTGACTCTCCCTTCTCTGCCCCAGTCCCTTCCTCATGCCTTCATAAGGCAGAATCTCCACCGTGACCTAAGTAAAAGAATTCTTCCCAACACAGGAAGGATACACCAGAAATTAAGGAGATTGGTTAGTTACTATGGGAGGTGGAGGTGAGAAAAGGGTGGATAGGATCAAGGAATGAAACTGGAGATGAGGGAGGAACAGCACTTCTCTGAGGATTATCTGTGTGTATAGCTTTAACGCTTAGAACCATGGCGATATTTTACATACCCAAAATTAAATAAATAATCGAAATCAACCAGAATATGGGGGCAGGGGACCAAAAGTGGGAGACAAGCAATAACAAATTAACCTAACTGTATAATCAATTACTAACATAACCACACTGACGGGGATAGGGAATGAAAGCACTAACTTCAGTAACTTTGTAAAATGGTACTTTGACTGGATACTGGTCAAAGTCAAAAATAAAAACTATAGACAAATACTGTTTTCCAGTTATTAAATATGTTTCTCATATGAATGTGAGTTAAAAATTCTAAAAGTTCGGGGCCGGGCATGGTGACTCATGCCTGTAATCCCAGCACTTTGGGAGGCCAACGCGGGTGGATCACCTGAGTTCAGGAGTTCAAGACCGGCCTGACCAATATGGTGAAACCCTGTCTCTATTAAAAATACAAAAATTAGCCAGGTGTGGTGGTGTGCGCCTGTAGTCCCAGCTACTCGGGTGGCTGAGACAGAAGAATTGCTTGTACCCAGGAGGCGGAGGTTGCAGTGAGCTGAGATTGTGCCACTGCACTCCAGCCTAGGTGACACAGCAAGACTCCATGTCAAAAAAAGAAAAAAAAAGAAAGAAATCTGAAAGTTCTTTATGTGTACACTAGCATTAGACAAATAAGTGAATAAACCATAGATAATAAGAGCTAAAGAAAGATGTGACAAATAAAGAAGGGGGAAGGCTGGAATGAACCTTGTGGAGTTGGACCAGACTTGAAAGAATCAGTATGAACTCATGGTTTTTAATGTATATACAGATAAATACATATAGAAAAATTTTAAAAAGATGTATGTGCTTGGATTAATACACATACATACATTTTCTAGTTCTGTCTACAGAGAAAGCCCAGAGGCAATGACATCCCAGTAGCAACAAGCACACCTAGTGCCCAGATCTTGGTTTCTAAATACCATTTTCCAATAAAAGGAAACAGAGCTCCTTGGAGACATGGCTGATCCTAGGATTGAAACAGGAAATATACAAAATAAACCCAGCACATCTTGTAGTGCCAGAAAATAAGTCAATATTTGAAAAACCATGGGGAGTGTCAAAAGGACATAGGGTCTAACCTGAAGGAGCTTCCAATGGCCACAGCTAGGACAATTTGAATGAACAAAGAAAGTGATGAATTATAACTCATAGAATAAAATAAATACCCACAAGTCTATAGATAATTATAGATAATTAAATGTTATAGATAATTGAATAAAAACATAAATGGAGGAGAAATGACAGGTCTTCTTTACAAAAGAATTCCAATTAATAATGTGAGAGGAATGAGAGAAATAGAAAATTGTCACTAGGCAAACACCATGGTAATAATTGTAGATCCACTGATGAATGCTAAAAATCTGTTAGTGAAAATCTGTGGACAAATAGGATATTTGTATAGCCTCAAAGTATTTCCCCCCAAATAATTACCACTTATAAAGGGGAAAACAAGAACTTCTCAGTGGAGGAACCCAGCAGACAGCACATTAACCATATGATCAAGGTTAACATGACCAGCAATAAGCTATACATATCAGCATCATGTATCCCCTGCTGTAATGCACTGAGAAGGGAAGGACACGTCACTTCTTTGTGTTTTTTTGTTTTTGTTTTTTTGCCAAAAACACATAACTACAATCATGAGAAAACACCATTCAAAACCCAGTTTGGAGACATTCTATATGGTGATTACTCACCACATAGACATTCACTATGGTGAGTCCTCACCAAAGTGTTCAGGTCATCAAAGATAAGGAAAGATAGAGGACTATCACAGATTGGTAGAGACTAAGGAGACACAAAGGCTAAATGCAATGTGAGATCCTGTACTGAATTGTAGAACAGAAAGAGAACATTAGGGGGAAAATATGCTAAGATTCAAATGAGGTCTGTCGTTTAGTTAATAGTACTCTGTTAGTGACCATTTCCTGGTTTTGATAACTGCACCATGTTTATGTAAGTTGTTAATTAGAGGAAGCTGAGTGAATGGTAGACATGGCTCTAAGACCTTTTATATATTTACATAGCCTTATGCCCTTTCAGTATCTTTCCAGGCAGTTATCAAATGATTCCCTACCTTACATGAGCTTCTTGAACATTGCTATTTCTTCTGTAGTCACAGTGGACTAGCGCAAGGCTGGCTGCCTCAAAATCCCCCAACCTGAAGTTCCTAAACTGGGGCTGAGAATTTCTGGGGCTCTGTGGGGGATTTAAGGGCTGTCTTTGAGAATGTTCAAGTTATGTTTTCATTTTAATGTCAGTCTAGATACAGTTCATAGTTAATATATTCTGGAACATCTTGATGACCACCTCATGACCAAATGTTACCAGATCTCCGTGCCCAGTTTGCATTTGTGTCATACCGTGTTGGTGTCACCTAAAAGGACAGGGCACACCATGTGTGTGCTTGGGATCTGCAAGAGCTCAAGGTTAAGCACAATGAGTTAACATAGACAAATGTGTGGAAACATTCCCAGTGCATAACAAACATTCAATATATGTTCTCTGTTACCTATCAGAGTTTCCTTCCTCTCCTCTCCTTCTCTCTCTCTCTCTTTCTTTCTTTCTCTTTTTTTCTTTTTCCTTCTTTTTTTTTTTTTTTTTTTTGGACGGAGTCTCGCTCTTTTGCCCAGGCTGGAGTGCAGTGGCGTGATCTCGGCTCACTGCAACCTCAGCCTCCGAGGTTCAAGGGATTCTCTTGCCTCCCGAGTAGCTGAGATTACAGGCATGCACCACCATACCAGGCTAATTATTCTACTTTTAGTAGAGACAGGGTTTCACCATGGTGGCCAGGTTGATCTCGAACTCCTGACCTCAAGTGATCCACCTGCCTCGGCCTCCCAAAGTGCTGGGATTACAGGCGTGAGCCACCATGCCCGGCCCAGAGTGCTTTCTTAACACACACATCTCACCTGCCCAACTCTTGATGTCTTCAGAACTAGGCCAAGAAATAAAACACCTCCTGCATGATTCTGACGCACAGTTAGACTTGGAAAGTCATGCTTTTTATTTTACACACACATGCATACACACACACATTTGACTCTAAGACTGGGAAGGCACCTTAGGTACCATTTAGTACAACATTCCCACTCTACAGATATGAAAACAAAGGCTCTGAGTGGTGAAGGGACTTGCCCAGATCAGACGGCAGTAAATCTGTAAGTAGAATCTGAGCCTGGAACGAAGGATAATCATGCATCCCTCTGCATAGATGAGGATCGCACTCTCCTTGCTGCCCAGCAGTGAGTGACTTCAGCTGCTCTCCTCAAGGCTATTTTTGGAATCCCTTTTCAAATTTCTTCCAGAGTTATTGGTCTGTTCAGGTATTGAACTTTATGTGTCAACTTTGCAAATTTAGGTTTTCTGACAATATCATTCACTTTAATCAAGATTTTAAAGTTAATTAGCAAGAATCAGAAATTCCTATATAATTTTTACAATTACTTCTGTAATTTTAGCCCTTCTTTTAACGTAACTTGTTTTCTTTTAAAATACAGGTCCATATGTATATTAAGTATTTTTTTTTCTTTTTTCTTTTTCTTTTTTTTTTTTTTGAGATGGAGTTTCGCTCTAGTTGCCCAGGCTGGAGTGCAATGGCGCAATCTTGGCTCACTGCAACCTCTGCCTCCCAGGTTCAAGCTATCCTCCTGCCTCAGCCTCCTGAGTAGCTGGGATTACAGGCATGCATCACCACGGCTGGCTAATTTTTGTACTTTTAGTAGAGACGGGTTTCACCATGTTGGTCAGGTTGGTCTCAAACTCCTGACCTCAGGTGATCCACCCGCCTCAGCCTCCCAAAGTGCTGGGATTACAGGCATGAGCCACTGCACCCGGCCTGTATTAAATATTTTATACTACTTCATAGTTCTTTCAATGTTTTTGACATTTACATTAAATGTAATAACTGTGATAACAGCAGTATTTTTGGACAGTGGCTTTAAGTTTCATTTATTTTATTACTCACTGTTTTGTTTTGTACCCTACCATTCCTACTTATAAGTCCTTTATTTTGGTTCATGTCTTGCTCACTCAAGTATTTCGAGTAGTTTCAGGACAGATATGTGGGTGAGGTACTTTCTGAGACTTTACATGTCATATGTCATTCATTCTGGCTCATGAATTATAGCTTTGCCAATTATAGAATTGGCATAATTCATAATTTTTCACCCTCGAAATGTTCATAGAAACCCAAGAAAATCAACTGAAAAATGGTCATACCAAAGAACAGAGTTAGGTAAAGTGGTTAGGCACAAATTAATATAGAAATCAATATTATCTAACTATGCAAATAAATTATGTTGGGGAAACAAGATTCCACTTCTAACAGCAACAAAAGTAATACAAATTTTTTTAAAAACTTTAAAAATATGCAATATTTTTATAAAGAAAATGTTTGAGGGACACGAAAAAGCAAAAGTAAATGGAAATACATATTCTGGTGTTAGGAAGATTCAATACCATAAAAAATTAATTCAAAAAGGATCAAAGATCTAAATGTAAAGTGCTAAAACTATAAAACTCTTAGAAGAAAAATTGGGGGAAGCTTCATCACATTGGATTTGTCAAAGATTTCTTGGATATAACACAAAAAGCACAGGCAACAAAAGAAAAAATAGTTAAATATCAAAATTTAAAACTCTGTGCATTAAAGGATACAATCAACAGAGTGAAAAGGCAAGCCATGTTATGGAAGAAAATATTTGCAAATCGTATATCTGATTAAGGGCTACCATCTTGAATATATAAAGAACTCCTGTATAACTCAACAACAAAAACAAACCACCCGATTTGTTCATTCTCCATGAGTTTCAGCCTGGAGAATAGGAAAGAAGGAGGGAAGGAGGGAAGGTGGGAGGGTGGGAGAGAAGGAGGGAGGGAGGGAGGAAGAAAAGGAGGAAGGTAATTATTGAGTGGCTGATCTGTGTCAGGTACTATGTTGGGCGCTTTCACTTAGTTTGATAATCATAATTGATTATCAAATTGATTATCAAATTATCAATCCCCATTGTCTTGGGAATTAACATTCAGTTAATCCCCAAGACATTGATTACTTAGTTTGATAATCATAATCACCCTGTGACATTATCATAATTATTCACATTTCCTGCAGCTCAGGGAGGGTAAGCCATTTATTCACTCAAGTTCCTATGGTCACAATTCCTATGGCCCGAGCTTGAAGTCTGTGCAAAGTTGGCGTGACTCTCAAAGCCCATGTTCTTTCCTATGTCGTGTTCATAGGAAGTCATTTCTACTGGTTTCTAGACACTTAAAGGGCTGAGTGTACTGTTTCGTCTCAGTGTTGTAATTTGAGGCTTCCAGGGAAGACGTCTTGCATAAAAATTGGCTGAGTTTCCATTGTTGGTGATTCATTCTCCTTGGGTTAGGGCTGTTCACTTCCTCTGTCCTAGCTTATTTTTCAAGATGTAAGATTCTTGGAGGATGATTTAGCCACCAGATGAGTCTGTTACAGCAGTGACGGTAGCTAGTGGGCAGGAGAAGGACTCTGGGGCCAGGAGAGGGAGGAAATGTGAAAAGGTAGGTGGACATGGTGTGGAGGTCCAGGGAAGGCAGAAGATGAAGTAGAGATGTACCAAAAGAAAGAAACACTGAAGAAGCAGAGGCAAGACTGCCCACTTCCCCCCATCTTTGCTCAAGCCCTTCTTTACCAAGGAAGGGGCACAGGAATGCCTGGGAAGACCACAGTTGTGGTCAAGACCAAGAAGAAATGGGATGAGGATGAAGGAGGGGAAGGAGAAAGATGCTAACGTGTACACAGCACTGACCCTGGGCCAGATACCATGCTTAGGGCTTGAAGCACATGATCTCATTTATTTTGAGCCACTCTAGGACACTCTGAACTTGCAGAGATGAGGAAGTTCAGCTCCTGTTGGCTAAAAGACTTTCCCAAGGACATACGGATAGCACAGAGAGGATTCGAACTAAGGTCTCTCTGGTCCACTCTACCCAGGTACAGTACCGAAAAGACAACAGGATGTACAATGTCACCTTTTCATATAATAATTTTAATAATAGCAGCTAATAGGAATTGAAAGCTTACTATGTGGCAGGCACCGTTCTAGGTGTTTCTATGAATTAAGTCATTAAATCCATGTGAGGTAGACACTCCTTACCCCCATTTTACAGATGAGGAGACTGCGGTACAGAGTATTCTCTCAGCTGGTAAATGAAGTATGCTGTAGGCAATTTAGCTTCCCCATGCAAGTAAGAGCAGCTATACTGGAGCCAGGGGTGGGCAAACTGAAATTACTGCCAAGCTGGGAAACCAGAGGAAGACTATAACAATAAAACAAGCAATAAGCTCCAGGCAGCAACCGAATTCTTTGGGCACCTGGGCTAAACCTTGGGCACTTACACGGGAGACTGTTTAATCCTACCACCTTTAAATATGGAGCCCATCTTAATGGTTAGACAATGTGCACAGGAGAATAAAGCAGCAAATGAATGTAAATGTAAAAACTCAAGAAAGGCCAATTACACATATATTGGCAGCTTTCTGGTTTTTCTGGATGTGGAAAAAGATTGCAGTTGTGACATTGCACCCTTCCCTTCCCTTCCCCTCCCCTCCCCTCCCCTCCCCTCCCCTTCCCTTCCCTTTTCAAGACAGGGTCTTGCTCTGCCTCCCAGGCCAGAGCGCAGTGGTGTGATCATACCTCACTGCAGCCTTCTGGGTGTGGAAAAAGATTGCAGTTGTGACATTGCAGCCTTCCCTTCCCTTCCCTCCCCTCCCCTCCCCCCCTCCCCTCCCTTCCCCTTCCCTTCCCTTTCCTTTTCAAGACAGGGTCTTGCTCTGCCTCCCAGGCTGGAGTGCAGTGGTGTGATCATACCTCACTGCAGCCTTGACCTCCTGGGCTCAAGCGATCCTCCTGCCTCAGCCTCTCAAGTAGCTGGAACTACAGGCACATGTCACAATGCCTGGCTAATTTTTTTTTTTTTTTGTAGAGGTGGGGTTTCACCATGTTGCCAGGCTGATCTTGAACTCCTGAGCTCAAGCAATCTGCTGGCTTCAGCCTCCCAAAGTGCTGGGATTACAGGCGTGAGCCACCTGCAGCCTGACACAGGCTGCTCACTTTCTACAGGTAGAATCATTTCTAGTTTGTAAGACAGATATGAATATTTCATAGTTTTGGGCAAGGAAGATTTTTCTCCTTCCAGAGCACTGTGACTTCTAGATGCTTTACTATCAGAATAAGTTTGGGGTAGACTGGTCCAATCCATTATCTTTTCCCTTGCACAGCTTTTCTTCTCTTCCAGAGTGATAAACCATTTACCACCCCGTCTTCTCTCCATTAATCCAACAGCAGGTCATTGTTCTCAGACACGGGCACATCTTCACTAGTCTCCTTTTTACTCTCTTTGAACTCCTGCCCAATTATGCAAGAAAAATCTCTCAAATTCTCCCCCTCCATCCCATTCATGAATATGCTTTAGAGCGAAACCTCTCTAACAAGAAAACAGATACTCATCAGGTTTGTGGACAGAACTGAAATCAGACACTCCTCCCGATACTTGGCCAGGTGTGGTTTTTACAACTTTTTATGAAACAAACGCTGATGTCAAGAGTCCCGTTTAGCCCAGTCTAGAACTCTCTAGATCTCTAATGGACAACTTACTATGACATTAGGGCATCAGGCACTGATGCAGTCTCTCCCAACTTCTCACCAAATATACCAGATAGATAGTTAGATAGTAGATGGATAGATAGATAGATAGTAGATGAATAGATAGATAGATAGTAGATGGATAGATGGATAGATAGATAGTGGATAGATAGAAAGTAGATGGATAGATAGATAGTAGATGGATAGATAGATAGTAGATGAATAGATAGCTAGATAGTAGATGGATAGATGGGTAGATAGATAGACAGAAAGTAGATGGATAGATAGATAGATAGTAGATGGATAGATAGATAGTAGATGGGTAGATAGATAGATGGTTAGCTAGTAGATGATAGATAGTAGATGGATAGATAGATAGATAGTAGATGGATAGATAGTAGATGGATAGACAGTAGATTGATAGATAGATGGATTGATAGATAGTAGATGGATAGATAGATAGATAGTAGATGGAGAGATAGTAGATGGATAGGTAGATAGTAGATGGAGAGATAGATAGTAGATGGATAGATAGTAGATGGATGATAGATAGATAGTAGATGGATAGATAGTAGATGGATAGATAGTAGATGGATAGATAGATAGATAGTAGATAGATAGTAGATGGATAGATAGATAGATAGAGAAAAAAGGAACACACATGCATACAATCCAAACTGAAACCAACACTGACAAGCCAGAATGAGGGATTGACATTATGTCTAAATCAGATGGAAATGGATTAAGAAAATCCAGGCTTAGGTTCAGGCCAAAATCTCTATAATAAGTGGGTACAGCTTGCATCATGGCTGAGTACATTTTGGTCCCCAAGTGGGTGTGCACTTTTTCCTTGGATGCTTCATCCCCTTTTGTCTTTTCCTTTAATGCAGATAGATGCATCACATTCACTGAGATGGAGAAGTTTGGGGAGAGGACAATTTGGGAGAGGAAAACAAGAGTCCTGCTTTGTCCGAGTTCTATCCCCTTCAGACCCCAATGGAGAGGTCTGGGCTACAGCTCTCTATTTGGGAGTTCACATGGTGCTGTGGTCACTGAGGCTGTGAACCATGTGAAGCGAGAAGAGTGAGGAGAACACCTCCAGTGTTAAGAGGTGGCACCGGAAGTATCACAAAAAGACACTGAGAAGATGCAGCTCATGAGCAGGAGGAGAACACGATGTGACAGGATCCAAAACAAGCATGTTTCAAGGAGGGAGTGAGGAATGCCACTGCAAGGTCTACAGCATGAGGGCAGAGAAGTGGCCACTGGATCTGGTGACATGGAGGGTTTGAGTGACCATGAAAGAACAAGTGCAGGAAGAAAAGACCAAATGGAATGGGCTAAGGAGAGAGAAGTGACAGAGAGGCAACTGCTTTGGGAAGCTTTGCTCAGAAGAGCTGGGTTTATGAAATGCCCCAGGATCCAAAAGAACCCTAAGGTTCTTCCAGTTTGAAAAAAAATGTCTATATCGATGTCAAAAGAAAAACTACCCGTATTAGTCCATTTTCATGCTGCTGATAAAGACATACCTGAGACTGGGAAGAAAAATAGGTTTAATTGGACTTACAGTTCCACACGGCTAGGGAGGCCTCAGAATCATAGCAGGAGGCAAAAGGCACGTCTTACATGGCAGCAGCCAGAGAAAAATGAGGAAGATGCAAAAGTAAAACCCCTGATAGAACCATCAAATCACGTGAGACTTATTCACTACCACAAGAACAGTATGGGGGAAACTGCCCCCATGATTCAGATTATCTCCCACCAGGTCCCTCCCACAACACATGGGAATTATGGGAGTACAATTGGAGATGAGATTTGGGTGGGGACACGGAGCCAAACCATGTCACTACCCAACATGGTTACACGTCCAAATGCTAACAGAAATTATATCTGGGAGGTAAAAATAGGAATAATTTTTATTTTTTATTAAACATTTTTCATAATATATATTTTATGCCTTGTTTTTTATCACATAGATAACAGAGGTTATATATATATAAATTAAAAAATGGTGCTGGGTAAGTGGAGTAGATATGCTTTTCCCTATTCCATTTGAAATACAACTACAAGCCCTGAACAATATATATAAAACTAACATAAGAGACCCTGAAAGAGAGAGAGAAGGCACACAGGCTAGGGACCCTGGGGACAAGGAATGGCATGGGTGAGTTCCCTGGCTTCTCTTTTTGCCTTATAGATTCCAGACTTGGAGCTGAACAGCCAGCAATCTGAAAAAATGGGTGCAGATTTAAAATAAAGCCCTCACAAAAGCCTGCTCTCTCTAGCCAAAGCCTGAGGAAAGAGGCAACTTAGCAAGACAGACACTTTTAGACAATACCTGCTCTATTCCAGCCAAACTCCACAGGGAAAATTGTGGTGCCACCTCCACCAGCAAAAGCCAGTTAATCGGCTTAGACTTCCACCCTGGCCAGGCCGTAATGAGGTTCCCCAAATCCCCTGCCATGGCCACTGTCTGAAGAAGCCAAGTAGATAGCCAGGTCTTTTATCTCCATTAGCGGTAATTAGCCCCCTCCCACTCCACAGTGTTAGTGGACACCAGTGAGGAGCCTGGACTTCCACCCCCACCAGACAGTAAAGAGACACCTCCATGATAAGATGATGTCAGAGGAAGCCTAGCAGGGAGTCAAGACTTTTACCACTGCCCAGAAGTAATGAGGTCATCCCCTCTGCTGTGGTGGCATTGTAGCTGTAAGGAGGCACTCCTACCGTTTCTAGCCAGAGACGTATCAGTGGAGGCCTGTTAGAACTTAGATATGTTTTTTTTTGGTCCCACCAAGTCTCATGTTGAAATCTGATCTCCAGTGTTGGAGGTGGTGCCTGGTGAGAGGTCTTTGGATGGTTGGAGCCAATCTCTCTGAATGGCTTGGTGTCATTCTCATGGGAGTGAGTGAGTACTCACTCTTCATTCCTGAGAACTGGTTGGGAACCAGCTTAGTTCCCCTGAGAGCCTGGCACCTTCCCCCTGCACCCAGTTTCCCACCATGTGATTTCTTCACACCAGCTCCTTTTAACCTTCCACCATGACTGCATGTGGCTTGAGGCTCTCACCAGATGCAGATGTTGATGCCATGCTTCTTGTACAGCCTGCGGAACTGTGAGCCAAATAAACCTCTTTTATTTATAAATGACTCAGCCTTGGGTATCCTTTATAGCAGCACAAACAAAGACAAAACCTAATAGGTAGCTGGAACTCCCACTCTACCCCTTAGTAATGTCAGACAAAAGGTCTAACATTCATGTGATTGGAGTACCAGTGGGAGAGGAGAAAGAAGGCCGGGCTGAAAAACTACTTGAAGAAATAATCACTTAAAACTTGGCAATGGAGGCTGAGTGTGGAACCTGAAGAGGAGAACCTCCTGGGAGAGGAGAAAGAAGGCAGGGCTGAAAAAGTACTTGAATAAATAATCACATAAAACTTGTCAAATTTGGCAAAATATATAAAACTACAGTTTTAAGAGGCTGTGTGAACCATAAACAGGATAAAGCCAAGAAATACACACCAAGACATCTCATAGTCAAAATTCTGAAAACTAAAGACAAAGAAAAAATCTTGAAAGGATCAAGAGAGAAACAACACCTTATCTTAGATGAAATATAATTTGAATGACAGTGTACTTTTCATCAAAAATTATGAATGCTAGAAGGAAGTGGAATAACATATTCTAATTGCTGAAGGACAAGCACTGTCAGCCTAGAGTCCAATATCCAGCAAAAATATCCTTCAGGAATGAAGAGGAAATCAAGATACTCTCAGAGGGAGAAAAACTGAAATAATTTGTCACCAGCATCCCTACTCTAGAAGAATGGCCAAAGGAAATTCTCTAAACAGAAAAAAGGATAATAAAAGAAAGAAATCTTGGAACATCAGGAAGAAATAATAAGAAAGGGAAAAATCTGGGTAAATACAATAGATTTTCCTTCTCCTCTTGAGTTTTCTAAGTTATCTTAGATGGCTGAATAAAAAATAACACAGTCTGATGTAGCATTAAATGTATGCTGAGTAAATATTTAAGACAATCATATTATAAATGGAGGCAGGTAAAGGGAAATAAAGGGAGGTACAGTTCACTAGGACTGGTAAAATGATAACAGTGGACTGTGATAAGTAACAATATATGCAGTGACCATTCAAAAAGCTATACAAATAGATATATATAAAAGCATTACAGATAAAATAAAAAATGAATTCTAAAGAATGTTCAGTTAGTCCATAGGAAAAAATGCAAAACCAATAACAAAATAGCAGACTTGAGCCCTAACATATCAGTAATTACATTATATTTAAATGGACTAAATAAGCCAATTAAAAGACAGAGATTTGTAGTGAATTATAAAACATAACCCAACCATTTGCTGTCTACAAGAAACTCACTTTATATATAAATATATAGACAAATTAAAAGTAAAAGGGTGGGAAAATATATATCGTGCAAGCATTAATTAAAAGAAAGCAGCAATGGCTATATTAATATCAGATAAAGTGGAGCTCAGAGCAAAGAGAATTACCAGAAGCAGAGAGGGACATTATATAATGACATAAGGTCAATTCACTAAAAGACACAGCAAACCTAAATGTGTTCACACCAAAAAGATATGTGAAGCAAAAACTGAGAGAACAGAAAGAAAACATAGACAAACTCATAATTATAAGTGGGGACTGCCACAGTGGAATGCTATACAGCCAAAAAAAGAGAACAAAATCATGTCCTTTGCAGCAGCATGGATGAAGCTGGAGGCCATTATCTCAAGGAAATTAAGGCAGAAACAGAAAACTGAATACCACATGTTCTCACTTTTAAGTGGGAGCTAGGCTATGGGTTTGCAAAGAAATACAGAGTTGTATAACGGACATTGGAGACTCAGAATGGGGGAGACATGGAAGGGGGTGAGGGATGAAAAACCAACTACTGGGTACAATGTACACTACTCAGATGGTGGATCCACTAAAATCCCAGACTTAACAACTATACAATTCATTCATGTAACCAAAAACCACCTGTACCCCAAAAGCGATCGAATTTAAAAACAGTAAAAAACAAGAAATAATCGGAGACTTCAGCATCCTTCTCTCAACCACTGATAGAACAACTGTAAAGAAAATCAGCAAGGATGCATAAGAATTCAACAACACTATCAGTCAACAGGATCTAATAAACATGTTAGAGCACTCCACCTAACAACAGCAGAATACACATTTTTTTCAAGTACTTACGGAACATAAACTAAGATAGATCATATCTTGGGCCTTAAAACAACCAAACTTTCAATTACTTAAAAATAACTGAAATCATACAGAGTGCATTCTATGACCACAATGGAATCAAACTAGCAATCAATAATAGAAAGATCACAGAAAAATCTCCAAATACTCAAAAACTAAACAAACTTCTAAATAATTCATGGGCCAAAGAGGAAGTCTCAAGAGAAATCCAAAAATTCACTGAAGGAATGAAAATGAATGTACAATGTATCAAAATTGGTGGGATACAGTTAAAGTAGTTCAGAGAGAGAAATTTATATCACAAAATAACATATATTAAAACTGCTGTATGGCCCAGCAATTGTGCTCCTGAGCGTTTATCTCAAAGAAAGGAAAACTTATGTTCATACGAAAACCTGTACATGAATGTTTATAACAGCTTTGTTCAAAATGGCCAAAAACTGAAAACAAACTAAATGTCTTTCAATTTAGAATATGGTTCGACAGACTATGGTCCATCTATACTATGGAATATTATTCAGCAATTGAAAGGAAATAACTATTGATACACACAACAACCTGGGTTAACTTCCGGAAAATTATGCTGAATAAAAACAAAGTCAATGCCAAAAGAATGCGTAACATATTATTTCATTGCACAATACTTTTGAAGTGACAAAATTATAGAAATGGAGAACATATTGGTGGTTGCTAGGGTTAGCATTAGGGCAGGTGCAGGAGGGAAGTGGGTGTGGCTAAAAAAGGGCAACATGAGGGATCCTCGTGGTGATAGCAATATTCTATATCTTGACTGTATCAAGGTCAATATCCTGGTTGTGATATTGTCGTATTTGTTTTGCAAGATGTTACCATTGGAGCAAACTGAGAAAAGGGTACAAAGGATCTCTCTTTATTATTTCATAGAATGACATATGAATCTACGATTTATCTCAAGATGTAAAAGTCTAATTAAAAAACAAAACTTAAAAGCCTTGTACAGATAAGTTTAAAATGTTAAAATATAAGCTTTAAAACTACCTAGAATAACCACTACCAATAGTCTGATCTTTATCCTTCTAAAAACTTTATTTTTTAAAATCCCACAGATCATACTCAAATAGATTTATCTCATAAAAGAGGTGATATTCGAGAGTCCACCCAAAAGAAGGGGTGCTTTCACCATCAGATGAGAAGGGATAATTGGCACTGGACTAAGCCTCCCTCCATGAACAATTATAAGACTACCCAAAACAGCTGAAGCAACTGTTTATAGACACTGGGCAACAGGCAAGCACAGGACTGTAATCCCTCAGGGAAGGGAAACACACAAGGGGAGCCTCTTGATTTCGCTGGGTTTCTGCTGGAAGGCACTTCCGTTGTTTGAAGCATAGAGGTAGAATGCAAGCAGAGTACAGGGGGCTTTCCGAGTTGAGGAGACAGAAATTGGAGTTTGGAACTCTACAAATGGCTGGACTGTGTGGGGCAAGGAACTGGAAAAGAGGGAAACGTGAAAAAGAAGAGCTCAAGAAGACATTAGCTGAATACTAAGCTGTGCAGGGTAAGACCTCATGAAGCCTGGCAGAAACAGCTACTGGAAAGCCTGGAGTTGAACAGAGGTTCTAGAAGTTGCACAGTGCTGGGAGACATTGGATTTCCAATCAGCCAGGGTGGAGGAACTTCACTGGATACCTCAGTCATTCATCTGAGATCCTAGGAAGGTAATTCTTGACATCTAGACATCCATTAAATTTTAAGAAACACTTGAAAGGATCCTGCTTATCCACCTATAAATTAACTGCCTGGCAGAATACAATTCTTTAAAGAAAAACAAGAAAATCCAGACGCTCAACAGTGTGGCATCCATAATGCCTAGAATACACTGAAAAAATTACTAGACAGATGAAGATGAAGAAAAATGCAATTCATTACTAGGGAAGTAATTCAATGAATAAAAACCAAAGAGAGTAGGTATGTTGAAATTAGGAGGCAAAGACTTTAAAACATCTATTATAAATATGTTCAGAGATTTCAAGGAAAAATGGACAGAGCAAGTTAACAGATGGAGAAATCTCAGAAGGGAATTGGAAACCTTTTTTTTTTTATTTTTGAGACAGAGTCTCATTCTGCTGCCCAGGCTGGAGTGCAGTGGCGTGATCTCGGCTCACTGCAACCTCTGCCTCCCAGGTTTAAGCAATTCTCCTGGCCTCAGCCTCCCAAGAAGCTGAGATTACAGGCATGCACTACCATGCCCAGCTGATTTTTGTATTTTTAATAGAGACAGGGTTTCACCATGTGGGTTAGGCTGGTCTCGAACTCCTGACCTCCGGTGATCTGCCCACCTCGGCCTCCCAAAGTGCTGGGATTACAGGTGTGAGCCACCGCACCCGGCCTGGAAGCTATTTTTAAAAGAACCAAATGGAAATCTATTACCAAAAGGAAACACAATCTCTGAAAAGAAAAGTTCATTGGATGGACTGAATAAAAGACTGGACACTGCAAGAATAAGATCAGTGAACTTAAACGATAGAAACCATTCAAACTAAAATATAGAAAATAAAAAAGGTTTTCAAAATATGAACAGAGCCTCAGTGACTTCTGAGCACAACCAAAAGTTCTAATAGATATGTAATTGATGTCTCAAAAAGAGAGAAGAAAGAAAATGGGTGCAGAAAAAAATATTTTAAGAAATAATGGCCAAAATGTTCCCAAATTTAATAAAAAATATGAACCCATAGATCTGGGAAGCTCTAAAAACCCAAGAAGGATACGTGCAAAGAAAACCAGACCTAGGTATATCATAGTTAATTGCTGAAAATCAAAGATAAAGAGAAAATCTCAAAAAGCAGCCAGAAGAAAAAGACACATTGTATGTAGAAAACAACGAGAAAAACTACTGACTTCTTAGAAACAACACAAACTAGGATAGAGTGATATACATCTTTATAGTGCTTAAAGAAAAACAAAACAAAAAAAGGACTTTCAACCTAAAATTCTATATCCAGTGGAAATATTCTTCAAAAACAAAAGTTAGGAAACTTAATGGTGTGATTGAAATGTTTTATATATTGTTAGGTCTGTGGATGACATGGATGTACACATTTGTCAAAATTGTACAGTTAAATTTTTTACATTTTAATGTTTGTAAATTTTTCATGAAAAGAACTATAAAAATAATCAAAGGGTTGGGAAGTGAAGAAAGTTATAGGTAAAACAATATTTTTAAATAATGAAGATAAAGACATTTGAAGACAAAAAGATGCTGAAAAGATGGTCACCAGCAGACATGTATTACTAAAAATGCTTTTTAAAAAGCTATTGTATCAAACCTTTAAGAAAGAAATAATATCAATCTTACTCAAATTCCTTCATAAAATAGAGGAAGAGGAAACACTTCCCAATTCATTGATGAAACCAGCATAATCCTGATGTCAAAACCAGACAAGAACACTACCAAACAAAGAATAGTACAGATCAATATCTCTCATTTTACATTTCAAGATGCAAAAATTCTTATCAAAACAATTAAAAATGAAGTCTAGAAATATATAAATATAATCATTTCCGAAATAAGTAAAAATATATAAAAAGACCAAATGGGACTTACCCACTTGGAATGCTGTACTTGGAAAGTTGTTGTACTGAAAGTCATTGTACTGAAAGTCAACTTTCAAAAATTAATGTAATTCACCACATTAATAAAGAAGAGTGAAAAAAAATCACATAACTACTTCATGAATGCATAAAAAGCCTTTGAAAAAACTCAACCCCCGTTTATAAGAACCCTCAGTAAGAGGGAACTGCTCAAACTTATAAAGAGCATCTATGAAAAATCTACAGTTAACATCATACTTAAAGGTGAAAACTGAACGCTTTTCACCTACTATTGGGAGCAAAGCAAGGATGTCTGTTCTTACCTACTCAACATTGTTCTGGAGGTCATAGCCATTGCCATGAGGCAAGGAAAAAACACGTATATATCAGGGAGGAAGAAGTAATGCTGTCTTTACTCTGAGATGACATGACTGTATACTTAGAAAATCCTAAGGAATCTATTAAAAACTACCATTAGCGAATTTATCAAGGTTACAGAATACAAAGTCAGTATTTAAAAGTCAATTGTACTTCTACATATTAATAACTACCAATTTGAAAGTGAAGTTTTTAGAAACACCATTCATAATAGCATCAAAAAGCCAAAATTCTTAGGGAATTTACCAAAGAATGTGGAAAACCCCCACCATTAAAACTACAAGACATTGCTAAGATAAATCAATGAATACGTGGAGAGATATGCCACATTTATGAGTCAGAAGACTCAATATTGATATTATGTCAGTTTTCCTCCAAGTTCATCTATGGATTCAATGCAATCCCAGTCAATATCTCAGCAAACTTTAAAAAATAGAAATGAATAACATGCCTTCGGTATATGGAAATACCAAAGACTTAAAATAGCTAATACAGTTTGGGAAAAGGACAAAGTTGGACGACTCATCCTATCTGACTTCAAGATTTGCTCTAGGGCTACAGTAATCAAGACAATCTGGTACTGACGATTTAAGCACACGTAGATCAACACAATAAGTCGTATCATGGGTTTTTAAACATAAATAGAACCATAGTATACATGTTGTTCTATGCACGGTTGTCCCTGAGAAAGCATATCTGATTACATCATTCTCTCCCAGCCCTCTGAAACCTTTCCTTTGGGTTTTCATTGCCTTGAGTCAAAACTCAAGCCCATAACATGGCTCACTGGACCCCAAGAGTTCTGTGCCCTTCTTCTCTAGTCAGTCTCAAACCTCTACCTTTCCTCTCCATAAAACTTCTTCCTGCATGTGCTGCCTCTGCCTGAAACATTTCCACCATGTTCCCCTGTTTCTGATGTGGATCTTAATATGCATTCTTCTGTCTTCCATTTCCAGGTCACTTCTTCAGGGGAGATCTTCTGACCTCCAGGCTTGGCTGGATGTCCACCCCCACCCTTTCAGCTCCCAGAGCATCTCTGCTTCCACTGTGCCTGCGTTATAACTGCCTATTTCTCTAGCGGGCTTTCAACTCTGACGTCAATGTCCCATCTAACATAATGGTTCTAACCCCAGTGCCTGGCACAGGGTCTGGGCAGATTCTCCCTGGAAAGTTACATGAGTGTGCAAACGAAAGCCCCGCCCAAATATAGGCCCATGATGTTATGACCATATGAGCAATAGGGGATATTCCTCTGGCTTCAAGGGGAAATCACGTCTATTGCAACGTCCCAGTGAGTCAGTCTTCAGAGGTGTTGAACGAGTCGTTTTTGGCCACCCACAGTGTGGGCAGGTTGCCTGGGAGACCTGCTTCCTTCCTTGTTTCCTCTGCCAGAGGCCAAAGGAAGAGATTCAGGTCAGAACCCAAGCTTCCCCGGAGCTGTTCCTAAGACCTCAGAGTACAAATACAGGATAATTTATATTTCTATTAATTTATTTCTTTCTGTACATTGTGCTCTCCCCTCACCCTATCCCCATGCTAAATAAGAAGGCAACCATCCTGAGGAAGGTTTGTGGCAGGAAAGTGAACAGCTCTGAGCTCCCGGACAGCTCCTGGCAGGATGGGGCTTGGCATCGGATTTCAGTCAACATAAGAAGACAAGGCCACGCATGGTGGCTCACGCTTGTAATCCCAGCACTTTGGGAGGCTGAGGCGGGCGGATCACGAGGTCAGGAGATCGAGACTATACTGGCTAACGCAGTGAAACCCGATCTCTACTAAAAATACAAAAAATTAGCCGGGCGTGGTGGCGGGCACCTGTAGTCCCAGCTACTCGGGAGGCTGAGGCAGGAGAATGGCGTGAACCCGGGAGGCGGAGATTGCAGTGAGCTGAGCTTGCGCCACTGCACTCCAGCCTGGGTGACAGACCGAGACTCCATCTCAAAAAAAAAAAAAAAAAGGAGACAATGTTTATTTCTATTTCTTTTATAGACTTTAATTCTTAAAGTAGTTTTAGGTTTATAGAAATATTAAAGTACAGAGAGTTCCTATATACTCCCTCTCCTTCCTCCTCCCACCCACAGTTTCCTCTATTATTAATATCTTCCATTAGTGCGGTTCATTCGTTAAAATTAATAAACCAATATTGATACAAGAGTAGTCACTGAAGTCCACAGTGTGCGTTAGGGTGCACTCTTTGTGTTGTACAATTCTATGAGTTTCTCCAAATATATAATATCAATACACATTACAGTATCACAGAATATTTTCACTGCCCAGAAAATCCCCTATACTCCATCTATTCATCCTACTCCCTCCAGCATCTGGTAGCCATTCTTCTTTTTTACTGCTTCCATAGATTGGCCTTTTCCAGGACATCACATAGTTGGGATTATACAGTATGTAGTTTTTTTCAGATTGGCTTCTTTCATTTAGCAATATGCATGCACTTAAGATTCTTTCATGTTTTTTCATGGCTTGATAGCTCTTTTCTTTTTCCCACTGAATAATATTCCATTGTATGGATGCACCTTTATAGTAAGTCTTACAAGTCTCTATAGCAGGTCTTAGTAAGTTAGTAATGTCAGTCTTCTGACTTTGTTCTTCTTCAATGTTGTGTTGTTTATTCTAGGTCTTTTTCTTTTCATATAAGTGTTAGAATGAGTTTGTCAATATTCACAAAGTAATTTATTGGAGTCTTGATAGAGATTGCATCGAGTCTAGAGATAAAACTAAAAGAACTGACAGCTTAACAATAGTGAGTCTTTCTATACATGAACATGGAATACCTCTCCATTTATTTAGATTTCTGTAGATTTTTTTATCCATTTTATTGTTTTCTCATATAAATCTTGTATATATTTTGTTAGATTCATATCTGATTATTTCATTTTTTGGTGCTAGTGTAAATGGTATTGTATTTTTAATTCAAATTCCAATTGTTCATTGCTGGTATATAGGCAAGCACTTGACTTTTGTGTATTTATCTTGCACTCTGAAACCTTACTATAATTGCTTAGTTCCAGGAATGTTGTTTTTTGTCATTGTTGATTCTTTGGGATTTTATACATAGACAATCATGTTATTTGGTGAACAGAAACTTCCTTCCCAATCTGTATACCTTTCATCTCCTTTTCTTATATTTTTGCTTTACGTAGGACTTCCAGTACGATGTTAAATATGAGTGGTAAGTGAAGACATCTTTGCCTTGGTCCCAGTCTTAGGGGGAAAACATCTAGTTTCTCACCATAATGTTAGCTGTACGTTTTCTGTATAAGTATTTATCAAGCTGAAGAAGTTCCTCTCTATTTCTAGTGTGATGAGAATTTTTATCATAAATGGGTATTGGACTTTATCAAATGTTTCTTCTGTATCTAGTTTTATGATTTTTCTTCTTCAGCCTGTTGATGTAATTAACTACGTTAGTTGACTTTCAAATATTGAATCAGCCTTGTATATCCAGAATAAATCCCTCTTAGCTGTGATCTATAATTCTTTTCGTGTATCGTTGGATTCAATTTGCTAATGTTTTATTGAGGATTTTTACACCTATATTAATGAAAGATATTGATCTGTAGTTTTCGTTTTTTGTAATATTTTTGTCCGGTTTTGGTATTAGGTAATGCTGGCCTCATAGAATGAGTTAGGAAGCACTCCCTCTTCTTCTATTTTCTGGAATGGACTGTAGAGAGTTGCCATCATTTTTTCTTTTGTGTGTGTGTGTGTTTCACTCTTGTTGCCCAGGCTGGAGTGCAATGGCACAATCTCGGCTCATTGCAACCTCCACCTCTTGGGTTCAAGTGATTCTCCTGCCTCAGCCTCCTGAGTAGCTGGGATTACAGGCACCTGCCACCACACCCAGCTAATTTTTTGTATTTTTAGTAAAGACGGGGTTTCACCATGTTGGCCAGGCTGGTCTTGAACGCCTGACCTCAGGTGATCTGCCTGCCTCAGTCTCCTAAAGTGCTGGGCTTCCACATGTGAGCCACCGCACCCGGCCATTTTTTCTTTAAATGTTTGGTAGAATTCACCAGTGAAACCATCTGGGCCTGAAACTTTTTTGTTTTGGAAGATTATTGATTCAATTTATTTAATAGATATAGGCCTATTCAGATAATCTACTTCTATTTGTATGAGTTTTAATAGAAATAAGAAATTATTCCATTTCATCTAAGTTAGCAAATTGGTGGGCATAGAGTTGTTCATAATATTCCTTTATTATCTTTTCAATGTCCATAGGTTTGGCAGTGATTTTTACTTTTTTTCTTGAGCTGTAATTCATGTAACGTAAACTCAACATTTTAAAGAATACCCTTCAGCGGCTTTTACTATACTCACTAAGTATGTAACCATCACAACTATCTGATCCCAGAATATTTTCATCGCTCCAAAAAGAAACCCTATACCTATTAGCAATCACTCTCCATTCTCCCTCCCCTTATCCTCTGGCAACCAGTCATCTACTTTTTGTCTTTATGGGTTTGCTTATTCTGGACAATTCATATAAATGAAGTCTTATGATATGTGGTCTTTTGCATCTGGTTTGTTTCACTTAGTGCATGTTTTCTAGGTTCATCCATGTCGTAGTATGTAACAGTACTTACTCCTTTTTATGACTGAGTAATATTTCACTGTGTGGACATACCAAGAATTTCTCAGATACACTTGAAGCATTTCAAGTATATATTTGTAATTTTATTTCTCAAATGCTTGAATTTATGGACCAAGATTCATATTGGATACATGGGAGCTACTTGCTCAGAGCAAAAGAAAAAGATGAGAGACAGTATCCAGGTATGACCCAAGTTTACCTTTCTACATGAGGGACAGTAAGAAATGAACGTAGCCTGGAGTTTCCTCTGTAAAAAGAGAATCCTGCTTGAGTCTTGTGGGCTTACATAAGCTGGTGCCACCGCCATCAGCTACTACCCACAGTGAGTTCCTACTACCTGTCAGCTGCTGGAAGAGGCAGGCACTTTCACATGGGACAATCCTTCCAGGTGGTCATTCTTCATCTCTGTTTTACACATAAGGAAACGATGGCTCTGAGAGATAAAGTCACTTTCTCAGGATCTGCAGCAAGTGAGAGCAATGATGCTAACTCAGGCCTGCCGAACACCAAAGCCCTCCCCAGCTGTCAGGTAACACCTCGAATTCTCTACCCAATTGCTCCAGCAGTAGGAATTCCTAAACTTTTTTGCACCATGGGACCATTCAGCAGTCTGACATCTACAGACCCCTCTTCAGAATAATGCTTTAAATGCATGAAATAAAATACACAGAATTGCAAAGGAAATGAGTTACACTGAAATACAATGGTCAAACTATTTTTAAATCATCAGATTTATGAAATGGGAGTATACGTTCTTCTCATTAACACATGAAATAATAAAAGCCCAGCAGTGAGTCTAATCACTGTGATCACCTAAACGTAGTAAAGAGCATGAATGACATTTGAGGTATCTGCAACCTCAAAGTGACACGAAAACATCTGGATTTCTGTTGGTGACAAAGTCACAGGTGCTACTGATATGACTGTGGTTTTTGCCTACGTTCAAATGCGAACTTCAGTTACAGGTGAGTGAAAATAACGATGCCACGTGTTCTCCATCCAAGTTCACGGATGCCTGGCTGAGAATCTCTGCTCCCCAGAAGCTGTGCAGCCAAGAGGAATGGGAACGTGGCCCCTCCCTCTCCCAGGGACTGTCATTGCCTTTTGATATTCATGTATTCTGGAGTCCTGGTGTGAGAAGGGGTCACCTTCCTGCCCCAATGTCCTTCCCTACTCCAGAATTCCTCAAATCTGCGTATTTCTGGAAAGCTCCAAATAGAGTGTTTCAGTTCTCATGGTGGTCCCCATCTCAGCTTAGTCTTACACATCTCTCTCAGGACAGTTTAATTCCTTTTAAAAACAACCCCCAGAGAGCTGCGGGGAGTTTCTAATCTCTCATATCAGGCTTCTTGTATGACTTCACAAGGGCAGCCCCTAAGCCTGCTTCCCCTGGGAGATGGGGGCCTGGCTGAAGGTGTGGTGTCAGAGCCTCCTGCATTGATGAAAACCCAGGAGCAGAGCCCAGCAGGGAAGAGCCCCCAACCTGGGGCAAGCAGCTGGGCACGTGGGAGGCCCTGCCCTTCTCACCTCACTGGGGCCTGTTTAGGGAATGGAGAACCTCTCTGGACCTGTTTACTTGACCATAAAATGGGAGAGGAGTCTCTCCACCGTGGTACATTATGAAGTTCAGAGCTGCTGCAAGAAGGCTTAAGAACAATCCCAAAGCAACCACCGGCCATCCTCAAGAGCTCATCCCTGACAAGATGGGACCCAGGAAAACTCACGAAGGGACGCCAGCAAACAGCAGCCTTGTAACACTTTCCTGAAGATCCCATACACAAAACGACCACAGTTCCCAGCCTCCTGCCTGCTAAGGTTTTTTTGTTTGTTTGTTTTTTGTTTTTGTTTTTGTTTTTAGAGACAAAGTTTTGCTCTTGTTGCCCAGGCTGGAGTGCACTGGTGCAATCTCGGCTCTGCAACCTCCGCCTCCCAGGTTCAAGTGATTCTCCTGCCTCAGCCTTCCGAGTAGCTGGGATTACAGGCATGAGCCATCATGCCTGGCTAATTTTTGTATTTTTAGTAGAGACAGGGTTTCACCACGTTGGCCAGGCTGGTCTCAAACTCCTAACCTCAGGTGATCTGCCTGCCTCGTCCTCCCAAAGTGTTGGGATTACAGGTGCGAGCCACTGTGCCTGGCCCCTGCTGTGTTTTTGAGAGAGAGGCAGGGAGGAGCTGAGTTGGGACACAGCCAGAGTGTGGACCCAGACCTCCTCACCCCTTCCTCTTCTTTATTCAAGGCATCCCCGCTCCTCTCTCAGCCTCAGTGTTCCAGTGGGTAAAGAAATGAGGGCCCCTCCAGCTCCACTGTGACCCAGCAGGGAAGAACAACTTCTGATCACAGCCACAGCATCCCTGTGTGTCAGCAGCAGGACAATGGGAGCCACTCCAGCTGTCCCAGTTGCAGCAGGTCCTACTGTGCAGAGACCACTTTGCTTCCTGTCTAACCACCATGACTGAGGGGTGTAGCGGGATAGATATGGGGTTGGTGGGGAGGCAGAGAGTAGGGAGGCAGGTGCAGGGAGGCCAGGCTCCACAGAGGCACGTGGCCAAGGTGACTCACCAGCACATTTCCATGGTTCTCTGGATCTGGCCCCCTCCCCACGCAGTGATTCGGGTTGGGGGAAGAAGGCAGCAGAAGACAAGAAGGAGAAAGAAAAAAAGGGGATGTGCAGAGAGGGAAGAGTGACCAGAGACGGCTTGAAGGACTAAGTTGAACAGAATAATACCCTTAAAACACCCTGATTCTGAGACAGATGAAAGGAGTTCAAAAACAAAAACAAAAAAGTCAAAATGTACACCAGCAGCCCCAATGTTTCCTGTTTTTCTAACAAATCACCAATGATTTCCAAGAAAAGCAAGCTGTGCTGCGCTTGCCCCCAGGCACAGCCGCAGAATTTGCACATCTGGCCTGTGCTTCGAGAGCGGCCCACGCGGCACCGTGGCACAGGATGTGGCGGGGCAGGCGGCAGGGTCTGCAGGGCAATGATCCCGAGAGGAGTGTGGCCAGGAACCCTCTAGGGAACACCTGCCGTGGTTGTCCCTGCTGCTTGCGGCCTGTGGATATCAACCTGTCACCACCTGTCAGCCAGTTCATCCTACGGCCTCCCTCAATCCTGCCTGCTGCATTAATGCAGGCATCGAGATGCAGGCAGTAGGACAGGGGAAAACAGAAAGATCCCCCTATTTACTCAGAAGACCCTTCGGGAGGATTTACATGTATGGACTTTCCCATGACCATCTGAATTCTCTGAGAATTTCCCGTTAGATGGGCGTGGGGGCTTCAGGGAGGCTCAGGGGGCCGGGTTTCCTTGGAGACAGGGAGCTGACAGCTCAGGTAGAGGCGAGGTCACCCTGCCAGCTCCTCACAACGGGGCCCTCATCTCCCATCCCATCTCCAGCTTCTCTCCCTTCCATTGCAGAGGGTCTCACAGGGTCCTGGGGTCTTTCAAAAGCCCCTAGAGGGAAGGGCAGACCCTCGAGCTGGGGCTGAAATCAGTCTAGTGACCCCAGGACCTGTGCCCCTTCCTATCTTGGCCACCTCCCAGGAAACCACACCTGACCTCTGCCGGCCTGACCCCATCCAGAAATACACAGCTGCCCCTGGAGAGCCCCTCCCTGCCCCCACCCTGCAGCCTCTTCTCTGTTCCACCCATAGTCGGAGCCTCCTTGCAGCTCCTGCCCCCACTGCTGCCTCACCCATTCCTGCCACCTCACCCATGCCACAACCCCCCATCTGCAGGAGCTCTGCTCAGCCCCACCAACACCCTGACAGGGGCAGGTTCAAAAGACAGTCTGCAGGAGGGGGTGAGGTGTCTTGGGTGGGAGGAAGGAAGACAGAGGGAAGCTATGCAGCCTTCATCTCCTGTCAGCCTTATTCTTTTTCTTTCTTTCTTTCTTTTTTGAGACAGAGTCTCGCTCTGTCGCCCAGGCTGGAGTGCAGTGGTGCGATCTCTGCTCACTGCAAGCTCCGCCTCCCGGGTTCACGCCATTCTCCTGCCTCAGCCTCCTGAGTAGCTGGGACTACAGGCGTCCGCCACCACGCCCGGCTAATTTTTTGTATTTTTTAGTAGAGAAGGGGTTTCACCGTGTTAGCCAGGATGGTCTCGATCTCCTGACCTCATGATCCGCCCGCCTCGGCCTCCCAAAGTGCTGGGATTACAGGTGTGAACCACTGCACCCGGCCCTGTCAGCCTTATTCTTATTTGGCTGCTGCGCCAGCTGGACAAAGCAGATCACGTCATACACACACACACACACACACACACACTTTGCTAAAACATTTGAAAGTGAGTTGCAGGCTGTGGACATCATAGCACATCACTCCTAAACATCAGCTTGAACCTTTTTCTTTTTCTTTTTTTTTTCGTCAGGAGACAGGGTCTCGCTCTGTTGCACAGGCTGGAGTGCAGTGACACAATCACATCTCACTGCAACCTTGAACTCCCAGGCTCAAATAATCCTCCCACCTCAGCCTCCTGAGTAGCTGGGGCTACAGGTGTGCACTACAAAGCCTGGCTAATTTTTAATTTTGTTTGTTTGTTTGTTTTTGTAGAGATGGAGTCTCAATACGTTGTCCAGGCTGGTCTCAAACTCCTGGCCTCAAGCAATCCTCCTGCCTTGCCTTGGCCTCCCAAAGTGCTGAGATTATAGGTGTGAGCCACCATGCCTGGCCTTGATTGAATCATATTAAACATGAGAAGATATTAGCAATTTCGTGGGGTTCAATCTAATACTTGAGCACACATCTCTCAAGAAAAGAGACATTCTTGGCTGGGCGCGGTGGCTCATGCCTGTAATCCCAGCACTTTGGGAGGCCGAGGCGGATGCATCATCAGGTCAGGAGTTCGAGACCAGCCTGGCCAATATGGGTGAAACCCCGTCTCTACTAAAAAGTACAAAAATTAGCTGGGTGTGGTGGCGCGCACCTGCAGTCCCAGCTGTTCAGGAGGCTGAGGCAGGAGAATCGCTGGAACCCAGGAGGCAGAGGTTGCAGTGAGCCGAGATTGTGCCACTGCACTCCAGCCTGAGTGACAGAGCAAGACTCCATCTAAAAAAAGAAAAAATAAATAAAAGAAACATTCTCCAACCTTCCAACCTGACCACACCTGGCAAATTGACAATAATTCTGAAACATTGTCTGCTGTACCCTAGGGAATATACTCCTTTTTTTTTTTAACTTTTATTTTAGGTGCGGGGGTACATGTGCAGTTTTGTTATGGTAAACTCGTGTCACGGGGGTTTATTGGACAGATTACTTCGTCACCCAGGTACTAAGCTTAGTACCCAATAGTTATTTTTTTCTGATCTTCTCCCTCTTCCCACCCTCTGCTCTCAAGTAAGCCCCAGTGTCTGTTGGTCCTTTCTTTGTGTCCATGAGTTCTCATCATTTAGTTCCCACTTATAAGTGAGAGCATGTATTTTGTCTTCTGTTCCTGCATTAGTTTGCTAAGAATAACAGACATCCTGTTATTCTATTATGTTATCTATTATGCTGAGAATAATAGCTCCATCCACATTTCTGCAAAAGACATGATCTTGTTCTTTTTCATGGCTACATAATATTCCATGGTGTATATGTACCACATTTCCTTTATCCAGTCTACTGTTGATGGGCATTTAGGTTGATTCCATGTCTTTGCTGTGTGAATAGTGCTGCAATGAACATATGCATGCATGTGTCTTCATGCAGAATGATGCATTGTGGTGATTTCTCAAACAGGGAACATACTTGCTGAGCATCTGTTGTGTGCCCATCATCAGAAGCACATCCTCTGTAAAGGGAGCAAGATGAATTAATTTATGAATAAAGCTCCTTCAGGCACTAGCATTCCATGATTTTATTCTGGAATGATGAGGTTGTGTTTTTCCTTCCCTGGGGAATGAAGAGTGGGAACATACCCTCTGGTGAAATGGGAACATGGGACCACTCCTATATCCATCTTTACTCTCCAGACCTGTCTTCAGGCTTCAAAGGCACCTGGCTAGGGCAGGAACACGGGTGATCCTAACGGAAGTACCAGGACACGGAGCTGGAGAGTTCCTCAGCCTTCTCAAGTGCAATTCTTGGGACCCTCCTATATCTAGCCATCCTGGAACTTTGTGATAGTGGCACACAGGTAACTATATCCAGGGACCTACACCTAGGCACTGAGACATGTGACTGGGGAAAAATGGCCTACACTTACGCCCTAATGTGTTAGTTCCGCAATTTCCTGCTGAGGTTAGCAGATGAACGTCCAGCAAGTCCACAGCAAATGAATACACTTGAGAAAGTCAGGGTGTGGAAGAGGTTCTTCCTCTCCAGGAAGATGCTGGTGCTTGGGGGTCCAGGAAGCCCTGCTGTGGAGCAGCCCAGAGACCTGGCAAAGCTTTCTCATTGTTTCAGCTGTGGCAGGCTTCTAGCCAAACCCTGGCTCGGCCCCTCACCCCACTTCGAAGAGGGGATCTACATCCTCCCCAGCTGCAGGAACACTCACTCCCTGGCAGGCCCTGGCTTCCTATACACTCAAGAGGCACAGCTAAGGCCTAGGAGTTGTGCCAGGAAACCAGCCACTGGGGTGGGTCATTTGATTGACACTAGCTCCAAGAGATTCTTCCCTTACAATCAGTAGGTCTGCCTCCCACCCCAGCCACACACACACACACTCACACCCTTCAGGGAATGAGAAACTGGTCCCAGGGCTGTATTCCCTCCACCTGGCAGCCCCTTGGCTACTCCTTCATAAGCGAGGCTTCACTGGTGACCCAGAGAGAGCCTGGGACAGGACTGCTAGCAGCAGTGGGAAGAGGAAGGCTGGGCATCACAGCAACCACCTTGCACTGGGAGTTTCTGCTAGACAGGAGGCAAAGCAGACATCTCAAATCCACCGTAGTCCAGAAACAACACAAAATGAGAACTCCTCCCCAGAAAAATAGAAAGTACTTATAAGATTTTATGTCCCAAAGATGATCCCAACAATAGCTCCCATCCCACCTCTCCTTTACATTACAGCCTTGCCACTTCTCCATCAAGAGGTGGAATCTATTCCCATCCCCTTAAACTTGGGTGGGCTTGTGACTGCCACAATCAAAACAGATTATAGCGGAAGTGATGCTGTGTGGCTTCCAAGGCTAGGTCACTAAAGACCATGCAGCTACTGTCTTGTTTGCCAGAAGGTTTGAACTTGGAGCTCTGAGCCATCAAGTGAGAAATTAGATTATCCATCTGGACGTTGCCATGATGTAAGGAAGCCCAAACCACATGGAGAGGCCCCTTGTAGGCATTCTCATTTACAGTTTCAGTTACCAGCCGTTTGATCTTCCCAGCTGAGACCCCAGACATCACTGAACACAGGCAAGTCATCCCTATTGTGCCCAGCCCAAATTCCTGGCCCACAGAATCCACGGGCATAATAAAACCGTTGCAATCTTACACTGCTGCATTTTGGGATAGGTAGGTAGTTACACAGCAATGTATCTGGAACATACACATCTGGTGTGACTGCCAGCCCCTTACCGAGACCAGGTCCATCTGGTGTGAGTGCCAGCCGCTTACCGAGATCAGGTCACATGCCCAGAAGCCACTAGACCACGTGTTCAGAAAAGTCCAGATGGAAAAGCTAGAAAGAAAACTACTAGAAAGAAAATTACTGTGACACCATCCACCAGGCACCTAAGAAAACTACTAGGAGATGGTGCCATCCACCAGGCACCTATGAAAACTACTAGGAGATGGCGCCGTCTGCCAGGCACCTAAGAAAACTACTATGAGACAGCACCATCCATAAGGCATCCAAGATAATCACAGCAATTCAGAGGCAGAAGGGCCCTCAGAGGCTGTCCAACCTAAGTGTGTTTACTCAAATAAAAATTCTTACCAAGTGAATATGAGCACAAGATGCTTTGCTGCGTGTTGTGGTAGCTGCAAAGATGACTAATACACTGCACTTCATTTCAAATGCTGAGCTGCTCACATGCCAGCATGTGCCCCGCCATGTTCTGAGGACTCGAATGACCACAGCAGCACAGCAGCCCACTCCTGCCTCTCCTGCCTCAGGACCTTCGCGCCTGCCGTTCTCTCTGCCTGAGTGCTCTTCTTCTAGGTGTCTGCCTGGCTCACTCCTTCACTTGTTTCCCTTCTTCTGTTCTCAAGGAGGACTCCTGACAAGCCCCATCTCGGCTGCCTCCTGCCTTACTTTTTCCCACATCTCCCTCACCCATGGACATACGATACATTTTGCTTTTGTACTGTTCTCATTATATTTCTGTAACTCCCAGCCCCATTAGAATGTGAGCTCCATGAGGGTCCAGCTGAGTGCCTGGCACATAATTTGCTGAATGAATGAATTGAAAGATGAAGAGGTTTGAAGGAAGATGAGAGAGAAGCGCATGGGATGGGATCACACACCCCGCCTGACTGAGATACAGATGCGGCTTTTCTCGTGTGCATCAAAAAATGAACCTAGAGCCAAGGTTTAGGACTGGCAGAATCTTTGCCTGGATAGCAGCTTGGTAGCTGATTAGGTTGGAGCCGGGCTCTTAAATGAATCCCTGCTCCTCGGTCATCTCATCTGTTGGAAGGTCAAGTTAGTGATGAGGAAGATTACTGTCCTATCTTCTGCCTTTAATTCTCACCAAGAACAATGAAAGCTTTGTGAAATAGCAGTGAGAGGAAAATGGGGAGAAAAGGACCCATGACTGGGGTTTGTAGTAATCACGGAAGAAAATGCTAGACATAGTCAGACGCGAGTCATAGACTTTATGAAAGCAGCTATCCAAGGGGCTGGGAATTGTTTCCGTGCGTATCTAGTCTATTAAAACAACAACAACAACAAGAGGCTGGAAGTCAGAGAGGGTGGCTTAACAGGGAAAGAAAATGGAAAATTAAGCTCTGAAGGCAAGTCAGAGAGTGTCACAAGGGAGAAAAGAGGCGGAAATGTGAAGGAGCCAGTGTGACTTCCTGGGGCATACGTCAAGATGGAATCAAGGTCCCCAAGTTAAGGTGATACGAAAGAGAGAGAATGAGCGTATCATGAAAGCAAGCCTTAAGAAAAATACAGCAGCTGGGTGCGGTGGCTCATGCCTGTAATCCCAGCACTTTGGGAGGCCGAGGCCGGTGGATCACAAGGTCAGGAGATCCAGACCATCCTGGCTAACACGGTGAAATCCCATCTCTACTAAAAACACAAAAAATTAGCCAGGTGTGGTGGCGGGCGCCTGTAGTCCCAGCTACTTGGGAGGCTGAAGCAAGAGAATGGTGTGAACCCGGGAGGCGGAGCTTGCAGTGAGCAAAGATTGAGCCACTGCACTCCAGCCTGGGCGACAGAGCGAGACTCCGTCTTAAAAAAAAAAAAAAAAAAAAAAAAGAAAAGAAAAGAAAAGAAAAAGAAAAATGCAGCATACATCAAAAAGGACCCGTAAAGCTATTTTCAGAGTCCAAACCAGAAGAAATCAGGCCAGTAACTCAAGACAGTGGCCGACGCATGAGAGAAAGCCGAAATGCGCTCCTATGTTGCCTCCATCTTTTCCTCCACTTATAAGTAGGAGCTAAAGCTTTACCATGATAAGCTTTACCATTGTAAGGAGAATGGTTAACCCACTGGAAAGCATGAATCACAGATGTTTTATTTAGTCAGCAGAAAATATGTATTGAGGGTCTACTATTTGAGGGACTTCACTAGGCACTGGGGGTCCAGAAATCTCACAGAGCTCGTGGCCAGGAGGAGGATTGAGAGGTCACTACACAATGTGAAGGAGCAACAGAAAAATATGAAAAAGACAACCCAGTAGAAAACTGGACAAAAGGCTTGAATAGACGCTTCACAGAAGAGGGTGTCCAAATGGCCACTAAACATGTGGAGAGGTGCTCCGCTTCATTAGTCAGAAGGGAAGTGCACATTCCCACCACAAGGCAATACCACTACACACCCAGCAGAAGGGCCAAAATGAAAAAGGCAAAAAAAAGCACTGTTGTGAGGATGTGAAGCCACGCAAACCCTCACGGCTGCTGCGGGGAATGTACGCTGGTACGACAACATACCCAGTGGAAGATGCTCTATCAGACCCTAAAGCTCAACTTCAGCATGCTCCAGGCCCCAGGTATATGCCTCCTAGCTACATGCCCAGTGGACATGCAACAGGAAGTTCAGAGAAGCACCATCCAAAATAACTCTCAAACTAGAAACTACCCAGTGGGTTAGGTGTCCCAGTGGAGGCTAATATGGGACAGGTGCCATAGGAACTTGGAGGAGGGAGAATGTCTATTAGCAAAGCTTCTCCAAAAAGGTGACTCCCGAGATAACATTTCAGGAAGGAGGAGCTGCCCTGGGTGAGATTCAGGCATGAATCTCATGGTAGGAAAATAAACTGAGGCAAGAGGCGGGAGACAGCATGGTTCCTTTAGGGAAATGCTGGCAGTTCAGCCCTACTGAAGGGTAGGCATGACATGGGGCACGCTGGGAGATGATGCTGCATGGGCTGGCATGGTAGACTGTGAACAGCCTTATCTGCCAAGCTAAGTGCTTAAGGGTTTACTCAAGCGCCATGTGGAGCCACTGCTAAATTTCGAGCTGGTGAATGACACATCAGCTTTTGGATTTGGAAGGTTGTACCAGCCACAGGGTGAAAGGTAGATTGCGGGGAAAGGGTCCGATATTGAAACATCTGATGCCAAATAGGGAGGCTTGCTGCTGAAAATGAGTTTAGGATTGCAGAAGAGAATAAAGGCATCTCAGAGTCATAAAGAAACTTGAGGTTGTGAAAGGGAGCTGCTACCGATTATCTTTGAAGAATCAGAGAAAATGAAAGATGTATAAGAGACAGAGACAGAGAAAGACAGAGACAGATTAGAAAATGTTGTCGTCATCGTGAGGAACAGAAAAAGAAAGGGAGAATTCTGTAATGGCATTTGCAGCAACCTGAATAGGATTGGACACTATTATTCTAAGTGAAGTAACTCAGGAATGGAAAACCGAACATCATATGTTCTGACTCATAAGTGGGAGCTAAGCTATACGGATGCAAAGGCATAAGAATGATACAATGGATTTTGGGGACTTAGCAGGGGAAAGGTGGGAAGTGGGTGAGGGATAAAAGGCTACACATTAGGTACAACGTACACTGCACCAAAATCTCACAAGTCACCTCTAAAGAACTTACTCACGTAACCAAATACTACCTGTTCCCCAAAAATCTATGAAAATAAAAATTTAAAAACAATTTTTTTAAGTGGAATTTTTTAAAGTACATGTCTGAGTCCACCAGTCCCCTGGCAACATTCTCTATACATTATTAAAAGACAGTTTGTGAATGCTAAGGGAAAGATCCAGGAACCACCAGCAGCCAATAGGGATCAATGGATTCACTGACTAAAGAGGTAATAGAAGAACAGCCACAATAGCAGCATATCTGAATTTGAGCAAGTCTTGCTATATAGTTTCATGATGATGTAAAAAATACGAATGATAACACAGATAGATGGATTCATTACTGGCTTCATAACCTCACCCAAAGGGTGTTGAGTAGCTTCATCTGTAGGGACATTGCTCCTAAAATGCCAGAGAACCCTGCCTTTGGTCCTTTATAGCATGATTGTGGTAAAATATATGCAATATAAAATTTACGATTGTAAGTATTTTTTTAATTCCAACTTTTATGTTAGATACAGGTGCAGGTTTGTTATATGGGTATATTGCATCCAGGTAGTGAGCACAGTACTCAATAGGAGGTTTTTCAATCCTCACCCTTCCCTCTCTCCCCACTGAGAGTCCACAATGTCTATTGCTCCCATGTTTATGTCTACTTGTGCTCAGTGTTTAGCTCCTACTTGTAAGAGAGAACATATGGTATTTGGTTTTCCATTCCTACATTAATTTGCTTAGGATTATGGCCTCCAGCTCCATCCATGTTGCTGCAAAGGACATGACTTCATTCTTTTTTACGGCTGCATAGTATTTCATGGTTTATATGTAGAACATTTTCTTTATCCAATCTACCATCAATGGGCACCTAGGTTGATTCCATGTCTTTGCTATTGTGAATAGTGGGGTGATGAACACATGTGAGTACATGTGTCTTGTTGGTATAATGAGCTATTTTCCTTTGGGAATATACCCAGTAATGAGATCACTGGGTCAAATGGTGGCTCTGTTTTAAGTTCTTTGAGAAATCTCCAAACTGCTTTCTATAGTGGTTGAACTAATTTACGCTCCCACCAACAATGTGTAAGTGTTCCCTTCTCTCCACAGCCTCGCCAGCATCTGTTGTTTTTTGGCTTTTCAATAGTGGCCATTCTGACTGGTGCGAGATGGTATCTTGTTAAGGTTTTGATTTGCATTTCCCTCATAATCAGTGATAATGAGCATTATCTTTGATATGTGTGTTGACCATTTGTACGTCTTCTTTTGAGAAGTGTCTGTTCATGTCCTTTGCCTGTTTTTAAATGGGGTTATTTGGTTTTGGCTTGTTGATTTGTTTAAGTTCCTTATAGACTCTGGATATTAGACCTTTGACAGATGCATAGTCTGCAAATATTTTCTCCCATTCTGTAGGTTGTGTGTGTACAGTTTTGTGCGTACAGTTCTAAGTATACAGTTCAGTGACATTAAGTACATTCACAATGTTGTGCAACCATCCCCACCATCCATTCACAGAACTTTTTCGTCTTCCTAAACTGAAACTCCATACCCAATAAACACTAACTCCCCGCCACTTCTCCCCCCAGCCTCTGGTAACCTCTAATCTACTTTCTGTTTCTATGAGTTTACTCTAGCTACCTCATTTGGGTGGAATCACACAGTATTTATCCTTTTGTGTCTGGCTTACTTCACTTAGCATAATGTCTTCAAGGTTCATGCATATCGTAGCATGTGTTTGAACCTCATTCCTTTTTAAGGATCAATAATATTCAATTGAATGTATATACACATTTTGTTTATCCATTTATCCATTAATGGACATTTGGGTTAGTTTGACCTTTTGGTGTAGCATGCTGTTTTTTATTAATAGTTTTCAGCAGGGCTTAGGAGGCAAGCTTACTCCACAACAGAAGGGATAAAGAACATCTATGTAACAGTGAAGATTCACAAAGTTCAAATGTGGATGAGACTCAAAATTGTTCTTCCATATCTATTCTCCTTCCTTCTATGGGGATATAACTTTTAGGAATTTTAGATCACGTTTCCCAGACTCTTGTAACTAAGTATGACCATATGACTACATTCTGGCTACTGGAATATGAATAGACATTGATAAGTGCAATTTCCAAGTCATGCTTTTAGAAGGAAGAGGCATGCACTTCCCTTCCCCCTTTCCCCTTCTTGCTAGCTGGAATGCAGATGCGATGGCAATTGCTAGAGCAGCCATTATGGACCATGAGATGAGAGCTACATGTTGAAGAAGGCAGAGCAATGACACAAAAGGAACCTTGGTTCCCAACCTATAAAGCTGTCATGTGAAGTCTGGATCACTTATGCCCAGCTTGCTACCTGAGACAGAAATAAACCTCTATCTTGTTTAAGCCACTATTATTTTGGGTCTCTCCAATCCAACAGAGAAACCAGTAGACCAACTAATATTTCAGTGAATGCTGAGTTACCTAATAAGAGAAATGATGTTTTTGTTTTTCTGTTACTATGCCATTTAGTTACAGCTGGTGGATTTCCCCTGAATTTGTAGAATATGGTTTATGGTCTGACTTAAAGACCACACGGTATACCCAAAATTTCCTTGATAGAGACACCTCATAAAAGGTGAAGTCATCCTACAGACATGACTTCTGGAGCACAGGTTTTCTACATGGAGTCCCCACCTCTGTGTGTCCTACTCTAGGGAGAGCAGCAGGGATTGAGCTATTTAAAGGCCAGACACTCATTGGAGCAAACTGGGCTGGCCAGTTAGTATTGAAGCGACTTAAGTCGAGAGAGTAATATTTTTATAAATGAATTAGGGGTAATCTCTTACTGGTCAATAAAGTACCATGAGAATAAATTATGGGCATTATTACAAAATTTTTTCTCCTTAAACAAGGTCAGATATTTTAGTGAAAAATAACATTTTCACCTCCATCTACTGAGCAGATCTTCGGAGTAACACAGCCAACGAGAAGTAAGCCTGCAGCTTTGAAAATGCAGGAAAGGTAGGGGGAGGAGGGGAGATGGGACCCTCTGAGGCCACTGAGCTCTGGACCCAAGTTGCAACTGTGGCCGTTATCATATGATTACCATGGCTGCAACCCAATCCCTTCAACAGCCCCTGGACAGGAGCCTTGATGGGAACCTGGCAGAGTTGAGCCATGGTCCAAGAAGGAGCATTCTTGACCAGCTACATCTATCTCAGAGGAGAGTGCTGGACTGTAATAGCACAGTGCCTTGGACCACAGTTGGGAGAATGAGGGAATGGGAAGTTGGACGCCTCCTTCTTTATTCATTGCACCCATTACATGGTCCAGCATTGAGGGCTTGCTTCCATCAACTTCCACAAGTCCCCACCATCTATCTGCTAGGCAACTCAAGTACCCTCTAGAACAGCCTTCTGAACCAACTCCCAAATGTCTCACATGCCTTGGACCTGAGCTACTTAGCCTCACTAGTTCAGAAATGTGTTTTCTTGATGCTTACATAAGGCTAGTCCTTGTTCAACTCCACCCATCATCTCCCTCCTCAACCCCACCCTTTAGGCCAAGCTCTGCCTCTCTCAAGTGGGAGGTTTTTATTAGCAAGTTCTTTAAAGGGCCACACCCTTATTTTTCTCTTGTTTTGCACAGTAAAGCAAATCCCCTCACACCAACAGCTATCATAGCACCGTGACCCACAGGCTAATGTGTTGAACTCACAGGAGCCTTTGCACCTTGGCCCTACCACTGGCCAGCTCACATTTGGCATCAAATGGGTTCAGAGGATGGATTCACCACTAAAAACAACCTCAGGTCTTCAGAAGTCAGGTGGTAAGAGTGAGCCCCATCTTTTGATCACCCACTCTTGGGTTACCCACCCACTGAAGAGGGGAAGTGGACTATATTCCTGTCCCCAGGGCCAAGAAAGCCCAACCCACCTTCCAAGACCTTTCCAGATACTTTTACTGAGGCCCAAGAGACAACAAGGGCTCTGGACACAAGCTCGTGTTTCTGTGAGAGCCATGGCAATGGTTCCAGGTTGGCAGGTGTGTGTCCTAGGGCTGCCACAGTCCTTGGAGGAGGCAGAGGGTCCAGTATCAGCCTCCTCAGCCCATTTCTCAGATATGCACGGAGAGAGTGTCACTCTCCATCATGCATGAGCTCTGAATTGGAATGGGGGAGTTATCGCTCCTGGGGAGTAATTTCCACCGCTCTCCCCTTCCCCCAGAAAGTGCTCTTTCCTCTGCAAAAAAAAAGAAAAAAAGAAAAAAAGAAAAAAGAAAAAGAAATAACTTTGTCCTTGCTTACTCTGACCCAAGCTCCCCCGGCTTGGGAGTGAGAAAAGGAAGTTTTTTGTTCTAGAGATTTCCACATTAGACTCAGAGGGAGGGCTACTTTTGTGAAAAATGCTTTGTATTTTTGCAAGGTGCAAAGGACCATATGCAAATTAATCAGTTAGTAATACTTTAATTTGCTCCCAATTTTTAAACCTGAATTTTACATCTCCCTTGTCCTCCAGGGTCAAGTAGGCCAGGCACCCCCTGGTGATGTTCGAAGAATCTCCAGAAATCCCTCAACAGTTTCTTCGCCTTACTCCCTCTGAAAACACAGCTCCTGATTGCCCTGATTGCCCCACAGCCTGGCACGGGCGGGACAGGAAGCCCCTCTGCCTTGTAAACACCGTGTTGCAAACAGACACTTCCCCAGGCTCTTATGCAGAAGCTGTCACCAGACTGGGAGTGGCTTGTTGGGGGAAGGTTCCCCAGGGCTTCCCCTGCTCTCAGACTTAGCTAACTGCTCATCTTAAATCTGACTAAATGGGAGGGTGGTAAGAAGATTCCCTGCCGGGTGCGGTGGCTCATGCCTTTAATCCCAGCACTTCGGGAGGCCGAGGCGGGTAGATCACCTGAGGTCAGGAGTTCAAGACCAGCCTGGCCAACATGGTGAAACTCCTATGTCTACTAAAAGTACAAAAATTAGCCTGGTGTAGTGGCGGGCACCTGTAACTCCAGCTATTCAGGAGACTGAGGCAAGAGAATTGCTTGAACCCAGGAAGCGGAGGTTGCAGTGAACTAAGATTGTGCCACTGCACTCCAGTCTGGGCAACAGGAGCAAAACTCCGTCTCAAAAAAAAAAAAAAAAAAAAGATTCCCAAGCAGAGGGTTCTCAGCACCTGGAGTTTGCATCTGGAGTTTGCCAGAGGCTCAGGGGTCTGAAGCAGCCCAGAGGAGGACACCTGCCTTGTCCCACAGTGGATCACAAAGCCACTGGTGTCTGAAGCCCTTGCAGTTGTGCACAGAAGACCAGTGATATGTCTGGAGGGTCCTTGAGGGGAGGATGACCGAACCCCACAGAGGTCTCAGATGGGGAGCAGCCCAGCCTGCCCGATCATCAGTCATCCAAGGCTGAGGCCCGGGCCTCTTCCATGCTGGCTGCTCGACCAGGCAATCACTCATTCAGCAAGCACTGATTGAATGACAAGTGCTGGCCCCTGCAAGGCACTGGAGAGTCAGCACTGAACAAAATGATTGGAAAGCTTCCCTCATTGGGAAGGGGATGAGTGAGGCAAGAACACACGTTAGGTCTTGGGAAAACTGAGTCAGGCAGTCTGGCTGGAGGAGAGCGTGATGATTCGTGGAGAAAGGAGTGGGACTCAACTTCGAAACCTGAACAGAAGACTAAGGACTCTGGACTCTCCCTAAGCAGTGGGGTGCCATCAAAGTATCTGAACACAGTGACATAGAAGTTTTCATAAGAAGAATCTCCTGGTGAAGAGAGGAAGAGCCTGTGGTCCAAAAGGCCCACCAGAGGCATATGGTAAATAAAGCCAAATTGGGTAGGAGAGAGAACAATGGGGAAGTGAGAGAAACAAGAGCCATGGAGAAAGGAAGCACCATCAAAACGGGCTGGGGAGTGGGGAACAAGGAAGATGGAGGGAGGACTCGGAGATGAGTCCAAGGTTTCAAGGCTGGGAGTCTGGTTTCAGCAGAGACAGAAATGGGGAAGTCTGCACAGGAAGCCTGCTTTGTGGATGCAGAGTTGGGCTCTGGATATTGCTCAAGTTGAAATAGGGCATCAAGTGAAAATAACCCGCATGTACTTGGAGGCCGAAGCAGGTAGATCACTTGAGCCCAGGAGTTTGAGAACAGCCTGGGCAACATAGTGAGACCCTGTCTCTACAAAAAACACACACAAAAAATTAGCTGGGCGTGGTGGCATACACCTGTAGTCCCAGCTACTCAGGAGACTGAGGCAGGAGGATCATCTGAGCCTGGGGAGGTTGACACTACAGTGATCTGTGATCGTGCCACTGTACTCCAGTCTGGGTGACAGAGTGAGACCCTTTCTCAAAAATAAAAAATAAAACAAAAATTTGTCGGGCATCAGACTTTATGGAGACTTCAAAAAAAAAAAAGATGCAGGTTGGGAAGAGACTATTGGAACTTGCCATTCCAGAGCCACCAGTGACCTGAAAGGAAGCCTTCCAGCAGAAGCATGGGCTAGAGGGTGGGTTTCTGCCATTGAGGTCTGAAGAGGGACTCATAGTCACTGGGAGTCCTGTCATAAGGTGGCACCATGAGGGAAGGAGCAGGTCCCCTCTCTGCTCAGCCCATCAGAGCAGCTCCCACAAGAAAACTCTTGGAGAGCAGGCTTTGAAAACTCCCAGGTGGTCAGAATCATAGAGTCCAGTTGGTCCAGGAGGAAACAGACTCAGCAAGATGAGGAAGTAATTAGGGGCCAGGACTAGAGATTACATCTCCTATTCCCATCCTGTAGCCCGTACATCACATCACAGCCCCCTGTGTTCTCTTAAGCACAATAACAGGCCAAGGAGAGCGCAGAGCTTTTCGTTTTCTCAAAATGAAACTCTCAACATGGTACAGAAGTGAATGCACAGTGCAAAGACCTATGAAACATTGACGTGAAAACCCCAAGAACAAGAGGACATCAATTCCCAGCTCAACCTGGAGGTGAGATAGGTTGGCCCCAAGATCTTATCTGGGACACTCACGGAGGAAGGCAATTTTGAAATGGTGTTCAATTAGTTTATTTTACCAAGTATCAGAAGGAGCCAAGAACAAGAGACCTCAAGAAAAGCCCATGCTCCCAGCAGAGGATGTGGGCGAGGATCCCAGTATCCATGAATGGCTATGGTTTTCTCACAGCCAAGGTGCTTCTGCTGCGGAGAACGGGCTGTGAAGCAGGGCTGTGGGGTTTCTGAGCAAACTGCCCAGCTTTGGGACCTGTTTATTCAAGGTCACTGAACTACTCAAACTCAAATCATGTTCTCAGAACAACCAGCGTTTACACAACCAGTCAGACATGGCCACCATGATTTAGAGAACTACAGGCTCTTTAAAAATAAGCTATATTGGTCTCCTTTCTCACGGCTATCATTTCCATAATATATAACATGTATTTTCCCTGCATACTTCCCCAACGGGAAACTAGCCACCACGAAGCCTCCCATTCCACTGTTGACCTGCTCTGAATTTCTCTGAGATCTTCCTTCTAGTGAGCTGGAGTCTATTTTCTTACAATTTTCCTTCTGTCATCCCTTTTCCATTCCAGAGAATGACACCCAGTTGAGAAGTCTTCACCTTTTTCAAAGGACACTGCTCGTCAAACATCTGAAGACAGATACTACTTCTCCTCTGTCTTCTCTTCTTGGAGAAAAACCTCGCTACTTCTTAATTACTTCATATTCTGTCATCGCTATCCTGGTCACCTATCTCTGGATATGAAGTGGTTGCTCAGCATCCTCCAAATGCAGCACCTGGAATTCACTCAAGGTGGATATGCCCAGTTCAGTGTGGAAATAGGCATGCTTGTTAGCTGAAGGGCATATAAAGTAAGGACCCATGGGACCTAGTGGCTGAACATTGGAAGCCAAGAATCAAAGATGGCTCTCGGGCATGAGCCTGGGAGCTCTGAGGTTTACAGATTTGTACCTGGGAGGACTGAGGAAGAGAGAAGAGAAGGAAGCTTGGGGAGTGGGAAGCCAAGAATCCCACAGTGGAAGACCTCAAGACTGGAGCCGTTCTCCCAGCTTCCAAGGAGCAGCTCATTCCCCGCTCTATAAGCTGTCACAGGGCGTGGGAGAAGGTAACGTGCTTCCAAAATCATTTGCAAAGTCAGTATATCAAAAACTGACAACGGCAGCACAGAAAAGGAAAATAGAGGTCAAATTCATTTCATGCAAAAATCCTAAAGAAAGGTGGGATGCGGTGGCTCACTCCTATAATCCCAGCACTTTGGGAGGCCAAGGCTGGTGGATCACTTGAGGCCAGGAGTTCGAGAGCAGCCTGGCCAACATGGTGAATCCCCGTCTCTACTAAAAATACAAAAATTAGCCAGGCGTGGTAGTGGGTGCCTGTAATCCCAGGTACTCAGGGGCTGAGGCATGAGAATTGTTTGAACCTGGCAGGTGGAGGTTCGCACCACTGCACTCCAGAGTGAGACTGTCTCAAAAAAAAAAAAAAAAATCCTAAAGAAAATCACAGCAAATCAAACCTAGCACAGTACTGAAGGAATAAAGCACCTTGACCCAATTGAGTTTACTCCAGAAATGCAGAGGGCTCAATATGTGGAAGCTAATGATCTAATGTGTCACATAAATCTATCACAAGGTGAAAGAGTACAAGAGTTTCCTTGCAGATGCTTTAAAAAAGTATTGGACAAATGTAACATCCATTCATGCTTTTAAAAATCCTTACAAAGGAGGAATTGAAGAAAACGTCCTTCACACATGGCACTTTACATCAAGGCACTGGTTCTAAAGAACTATGACCACATCAGAGAAACAAAGCCCCAAGCTCATGCCTGTCCCTGGGAACTTGGGAGGTTGCAGACTTTTGTGGCAAAGGAACAGTCATGCATGCCTCTCTGATCCGTAGACTGTTTATATTCATGTGTGTGGCCACAGACACCTTTTTTTTTCTCTCTCTCTTTTTTTTTTTTTCTGAGATGAAGTTTCCCTCTTGTTGCTTGGGCTGGAGTGCAATGGCGCGATCTCGGCTCACCACAACCTCCGCCTCCGTGTTCAATCGATTCTCTTGCCTCAGCCTCCCAAGTAGCTGGGATTACAGGCATGTGCCATCACGCCCGGCTAATATTTGTATTTTTAGTAGAGATGAGGTTTCTCCATGTTGGTCAGGCTGGTCTTGAACTCCTGACCTCAGGTGATCTGCCCGCCTCGGCCTCCCAAAGTGCTGGGATTACAGGTGTGAGCCACCACGCAGGGCCTTCTCTTTCACTCTTTAATCATCTTGGAAATGGGCTGAATTCAAAACTTGGTGAGAAATCCAACAACAGAGCAGTGGCCCAGTGTGCAGTCATGAGATGGCCCCCAGCACGCCGCTTCAGGGTTCTCACCAGTGAGTCGCTACCAGTGTCCTCTACACAGTTTTCATTATCCATCACTACCCCCAGCTTGCTTCTGACAACAGCTTCCTCCCACAGGGAGCTGTGCTGGGGATAATCCAAAGAAATCAGCACACAGAAAGTCATGTTTTCTAGAACAGGAGTTATTAACCTGGGTCCCTTGGTGAACTGCAGAGATCCAAGAAGACCTTAGAATTTTATGCAAAACTTTGAGCGAGAGAGACTGTGTGTGTGTGTGTGTGTGTGCACATGCATTCACATGTACATGTGTGCTTATGGGTGACGAGAGAGATGATCTTTCGCTTTCATCAGTTTTTCAAAGGGGCCAACTATCTAGAGAGAGTTTGAGACTCTCCTCGAAGAGTTGTCAGTGTAGATGTGATCTGGTTGCAGAACGCTCCCCCAGGAGGCTGGCTGGCTCGGCCAGGTTGGGTGGAAGTGGCTGTATGGAGATTTGCCTGAAAAGGGCCAAACCACCAAGCCATGCAGGAACAAATGCTCAGGCCAAAAACCCAGTGATACGTCTGCACAGACTTCATGGTTCTGGGGAGAAAGCTTTGGTGGAAGAAGGATATGGGAGCTGGACAAGTGACTTCCTAGATGAGACAGACAATCCAGATCAGGGCTTCTGAACCCTCCCAGAACAGCGGCTCCTAAGAGGAACAGAATGAAGGCCTGGCAAAAAATACGGTGGAGTTTTCTGTGGTTGGGGACTCAACTCCCTGAGCTGTTGATGGAGATGCACAAATGCAGAGGGCTCCTGAGCGGGACACGCTATCTGGTGATGGTCAGTGGAAAGGAGAAGAGAGGCCCCCCCATTAGTATTGATGACCTCAGCGTCCATAAGCTGGACCTTGGAATACGGGGAGGGGTGAGGAAGGTGGGAACGAGTCCCTGGTCTGTGTCAGACACTGAGAAGGGTGCTTGCCAGTAGTGCTATCATCTGATCCTCACAGGAGAGGGAGCCCACATACCCCACACATGAGATGTTGAAAAGAATGCTGGAGAGAATGCACTCAAAAAGCCCTTAGCAAGTATTCACTACATGGTAGGTATTAGTATTATGATTGTTATGATTCTCTTTTACTTTATATCTTTCAAGTCTCAACTCAAATATGACTTCTTCAGAGAAACCTTTCCTTAACCCCTCAACTATATTGAGTTCCCTTTCCATAATCTCATAGTATCCCATAATTCTCACAATTGTAATTGAACAATATGTGTGTTGCATGTCTTGTCTATGAGACTGTGAGTTCCACGGGGCAGGAACATTGCCTGTCTTGCTCAGTGTCCTCAGAGCTTGGCACATGCCTGGCTCACAGAAGGTGCGCTCCATGCAGAAGTGTTGAATGAACAAGTGAAATGTTAGCGATTAGGCAGGGGCCACATAAAGCATTGAGTGCCAGATTTCCATCCCACAGATGGGGAAACTGACATGCAGAGAGGTACATGGACTTAGCAAAGATCACGTGGCTAGGAGTTGGGGAGCCTGGCAGGAACTGGGCTCCATGTGAGCCACCTTCAGCCCTCACACCCCAGCCCTGCACTCTAACAAGGAAACCACACAAGCTCATTTGCCTAGGTCAACAACAACAACAAGACTCCTGAGGACATGAAAATGAAAAGCACACCACTCCCTCCGGGCCCCACCCCCAGCCCCCCACCCCATCCTGTGATCTGGCAACTTCTGCTGTTGCTGTGCATGGACGCCTTGCTTGTGAGATCCCAGGGAGTTTCAGAGTGACAGCCTGACGCCATGCTGAACATCAAGTGGCTAGGGTGAGCAGGCCATAGCTGTGCCAGGTCACTGGTCCCCCTGTAGGCCTGGGCGGTCAGTGCTATGGTGCGAAGACATAGAAAGCACAATGAAGAAGGAGGGGGCGGTCAGTGCTGAAGGGCAAAGGAAGAGCATCAGGGAAGGATTCAGAAGATGAGGCTTGAGCTGGGCTTCTAGGAGGAACTGGCAGTTCACCAGGCAGGCAGAGGCAGGGAAGAGCAATCTGGGGAGAAGCAACAGCACACGCAAAGGTGCAGAGGTCTCCTCAGGCTACAGGAGAGGAAGAAGGAGGGGTGGACCTGGGATGGGTGGTGGGTGTGGACCGTCTCTGGAAAGTCATGCAGCTCTGCAGCGTTTTCAGCTGAAAAGTGACTCACGCAGGCCGGGCGCGGTTGCTCACACCTGTAATCCCAGCACTTTGGGAGGCCAAGGCGGGCAGAACACCTGCGGTCTGGAGTTCGAGACCAGCCTGGCCAACTTGGCGAAACCCCATCTCTACTAAAAATACAAAAATTAGCCAGGCGTGGAAGCGGGCGCCTGTAACTCCAGCTACTCGGGAGGCTGAGACAGGAGAATTGCTTGAACCCAGGAGGCGGAGGTTGCAGTGAGCCGAGATCACGGCACTGCATTCCGTCCCGTGTGACAAGAGCGAAACTCTGTCTAAAAAATAATAATTTAAAAAAAAATGAAAATAAAAGTGACTCACGCAGATGTGTAATCTTACATCACCATGGCAGCAGGAGAGAAGCTCCATGGAAGCAGGAGTCTCCTGTGGATGCCGAACTCTAGGGCCCAAAGTCTAGCAAGCCACTTGATAGACTCAGAAGACTCAAGAAGGACCCAGGATCTTCTCTGTGCCATGAAAGTCATCCATTTCTTCCCATTCATCAGCCCCCAACCCCCTTTTGGGTGTAACTTGCTGTAGCTGTGACTCACTTATCTGGAAGTCACTTAACCGATAACCTCAACTATCCAGAACCTAGCTGCTATCCTACAAGCAAGCAACCAAACAAAAGCACCTCGTGGCCACAATTCATGCCCCCAAATTGTGTTGTATGGGGCATGCGCTTGACACCCACAGGAACACCTAGGCCACCACTTAGGCTTGGTCAATTCTGGTTAAGAGCAGACGCCAGAGTCAGCCCAGCTCTGGCACCACCTAAATGTGTGGCCTTGGCCCTCGGTTTTCTCATATGTGAAATGGGGGCAATAATTGTAGCTACCTCAGAGTGTGACTGTGAAGATTAAAGGACATGACATACTCAGCACAGTGCCCAACACCATGAAGTCATAGCCAAAGGAGAAAAGGACAGGGAGAAAGATGAAAGAGAACGAAGCATGAATGTACAAAAAGACACAGGGTACAAAAGAGAATGGCAGGCCAGAACCATTTGATGAAAATTTCAAGAAATTATTCAATCATATCCAACATGCTACATTTATAAATGCAAGCAACATACTTTACAAAGATTTCTTTTAAAACATAATACAATGAAAAGTTCTGATACTTAGAAGGTAGAGCTACTGGAAAAATTAATGTATGAAAGCTATGAGAACAACATAATTCTGTGTGGACCTGTGTATCGCTAACACATCCCCCAAATCTATAAAAAGTGCACTGTATTTAATAGAATCTAAGATGCCATCAATTGTAAGATGCACCGTTATTTTGTGTGGCAATAAGGAAGAAATATTGTTGCCTATTATAATTGGAAGATGCCATAAACAGTAAAATGCACCTTGATTTCAGTGAAATTCATACAATTAGCACATTCAGTGCTAAAATGTGAAAATATGTACATCTTCAAATTGATGAAATATTTTACTATGTAATATATGTTTGCTACGGGAGGGTATCATCTTCCCTTTGGGCAGAAGTCAGATGTACTCTTTCCTTTCTCTCCTCCCACCCCATCTATATCTGAGGCTCAAAAATCAAATTAAACACCTCTCCCTTGACTTGTTAAGGATCACTCTATCTTCTTCTTCCAGGAGCTTTCTCTGTTTTTTAAATTTTATTTTTTGTTTTTGTAAAGACAGGGTCTCACTCTGTTGCCCAGGCTGGAATGCAGTGACACGATCATAGCTCACTGCAGCCTCGAACTCCTGGCCTCAAAGCCTTGGCTTCCCAAAGTGCTGGGATTATAGGCATGAACCACTATGCCTGGCCAGCTTTCTTTCTTAACACATTGGTTCAGGCTTTTAGCTCACCAGCTGAGGCCAAACAGGCATTCTGGTTCTCAGAGGTCCCACAGGGCCACGCAGCTCAGTCCCTTGGGATGAGCATCTTTGAAGAAAGGCCAAGTCAGCACAGCTTGAGTGCTCAGTGGAACCCAAGCTGGGGCTTCCAAACTCTAGGCTACCCAGGCAAAAAGGATCCTGGCTCTCCTCCTCTCCCACTCCTCAGCCAGCAGGCCCCTGATGGATGGCTAACACAGGGGTATGGAGCAGCCTGCACCCCTGCCTTCTCATCCTCATGCCAACATCAACCCCAAATGCTCTTGTCACCCAGTGCCACCAGTTAGCATCCAACCTATTCTTCTTCTTCTTCTTCTTTTTTTTTTTTTGTTTGTCTGTTTGCTTGAGATAGGGTCTCTCTGTGTCTGCCAGGCTATAGCGCAGTGAAGCGATCATAGCTCACTGCAGCCTCGAACTCCTGGGGTCAAGCAATCCTCCCACTTAAGCTTCTCGAGTAGCTGGGCAACCTGTTATTCTTGAGGGCAATAATCAACAGTGAATGGGAGGGAGGAAAGGCAAGCAGGGAGGCAGAGACTGTCTGCTTCTACTGCAGCCTGAGGAGGGAAGATAATGAATCATCCCTCTCGTAAGCTAGAGATGAAAGGAGGGAGGTTCTTAAAACCCTAATGAGGCTCAGCACACAAAGACCCCAAGCCTTCCTGCCCTCACAGTCCTGGTTTGTGAGGCTTCAAAAAGCAGGGGAGGGAGCCCTGAAGCAAGAAAGTAGCTTGACCATCCAAAACTGTCTTCTTTGTCTTCCACGGGTCCACAGGCAAAGACCCACACCACCACAGCCACAACGAGGAAACACGGAAGCCAGCGTTCTACAAACATCCACGGAGCATCTCCCACGTGCAGCCGTTCTCATCATACATGCCTCACTTAATTTTCCACACTGGGCCAGGCACAGTGGCTCATGTCTATAATCCCAGCACTTTGGAAGGCCAAGGTAGACGGATCGCTTGAGCTCAAGGAATTTGGGACCAACCTGGGCAACATGGCAAAACCCTGCCTCTACAAAAAATACAAAAATTAGCTGGGCGCCGTGGTGCTGACCTGTAATCCCAGCTACTTGGGAGGCGGAGGCGGAGGATTGCTTGAGCCTGGGAATTTAAGGCTGCAGTGAGCCATGATCACGCCACTGCACTCCAGCCTGAGTGACAGAGCAAGACCCTGTCTCAATAATAATAATAATAATAATTCCACACAGCTCTATGGGTCAGTATGACAGCCCATTTTATGAATCAGGAGACTGAGGCTGGGTTGGGGGACAGTGTGATGCTGCAGGTCACACAGCTGGATCCGGTTGGAACTTGGGTCTCTTTTCCACATCATGCATGGTTCCCAAGCAACGGCTTCAGCATCATCACTTAAGGAGCTCATTCAAAGTTTTGAAAACTACAGATTCCAGATCCCATCCCTGGAAAGCCACGTTGTAGGGTTGGCTCCAAGAGAGCCCTACCTGCAGTCAGCTCTGGGAGCCAGTGCCTTACAGGTGGTCCTGAGGGCAGGAAGGAAAGTGTGGGGTGGATGAGAAGACACAGAAGGAAAACGAGGGTGTCAGTCCAGAGAGGACCTTGGAGGCAGGCTTGGCCTACTTTTAGCCCTTATTCTGCCTAAACCCACCCCTCCTCTCTACTCCGAGTCTTGTTAACTCGCTTTATACCACATCCTGCTGCTTTAACCTCGCCTTCCTTTTCCTTCTGAACAATCTCCTTCCTCCTACTGACCTGAACTTTTTGTGTATTTACCCCAGGCCGGGATGGGCCAGCACGCGCACATGCGCATGCCCACACACACACACACACACACACACACACGAGTCACGCGGGGATGTCCAGTGTGTAAACACAGATCCTCTGAGAGCAGAAAGCGTGCAGTTCTCTAGGACAGCAGCCGCGTCTGGGCCCAAGGCTGGCTAACTAGCAGGCTGAGTGAGGCTCGACGGAGGGCGCCTTACGCGGGCACTTCCATGACTCCCAGGTTCTGACGGCACAAGAGCCCTGATGCCCACGCTCACGGACAGTTCCCCGCTGGAGCGGGCAGGGGACCTGACCCTACGACACAGGGCGTCCTGTGTCAGAGGCAGGAGGCTGAGGACACAGCTGCGCAGAGCCGCCCAGCAGAGGTTACCCGGATAACGATAAGTGGTCCCCGCGACGCCCCTTAAGTCTCTGGGGTTATCTGGAGCGCAGGTTTGCAGACCCGCTGCCCCCGCGGTGGGCCAGGTCCACGGGGCCGGAAGATAGCAGGATCTGTCCAGCCCTCGGGCTGCGGCGGCTGCTCGCGGAGCCCACTCTCCCCGACGGTCCCCAGCTTGCTCCAGCTCTGCCTGGAGCTCCCATGCGTGCCCTCCGCATCCGCCCTGGCCGCCCAGTCACACACCTGCAGTCCCCGCCGGGCGCCGAGCCCCTCTCCAGCGGCGACTCCCTGCGATTCGGGTGACCGTCGGGACCACCGCGCCCCAGCTGGAGCCGCGCGGCGAGCCGCAGCATCTGCCCAGCCTGGGCTCCTCCGGCGGGCGGGGCGGAGCCTGTCAGGGGGCGGGGCCTAATGGGGCGGGGCTGACCGCGGAGCCGGCCTCTCCAGCCACCTGGCGGCCCGGCAGCGTCAGCCAGGTGCGCGCCCGGCCCCACATCCTCTGGGTCACGCCCCCGAGGCCGCAAGGCGTCTGAGAAGCAGCCCCGGCTCTGACCCGCCAGCCCTCGGAAGAAGCAGACCCTGGCCGGTCCATGGCAGTGGCCCGAGGGGCACCAGCGCGGAGCACCAGCGACCCCCAAGGAGTAAGGGGAGGTTAGGCCCCCGCGTCGGAAGCGCGGCTTTGGCCCCGCAGGAGGGCTGGGCGGAGCAGGGGGGCAGGTCTGGGGTAGGGGCTTAGGGGAAAGACGAGAAAGAGGAAGCTCCGACGAGCTGCTTCCTTCTCTCACTGCGACCCACTTCCTCTTCCTACTTCTATTTTCTTTCTTTTTTTTTTTTTTTTTTTTGAGATGGAGTCTCGCTCTGTCGCCAGGCTGGAGTGCAGTGGCACGATCTTGACTCCCCACAACCTCCGCCTCCCGGGTTCAAGCGATTCTCCTGCCTCAGCCTCCCGGGTAGCTGGGACTACAGGCGCGCGCCACCACGCCCAATTTTTTGTATTTTTACTAGAGACGGGGTTTCACCATGTTGGCCAGGATGGTCTCGATCTCTTGACCTCGTGATCCGCCCGCCTCGGCTTCCCAAAGTGCTGGGATTACAGGCGTGAGCCACTGCGCCCGGCCCCTACTTCTATTTTCTTTGGGTGCCCTTAACCCTTAAAATGCCTGCACTACTGCTGTGCAGACGGGCACCTTGACCCGCATCCTTCTGCAGGAACCTTCATAGAAATACCAGCCAGTCCCGGCGTTCAGCACTGCTGTTCCAGCCTCTGGCTGGACTTCCCGCCCTCCCTGGCCGGCACCAAGGCTACTGTCACCTGAGTGGTTTCCCCAGCCCCTGGGGAAGGGAGTGAGGGTGTGCGGGAGTTCCTGCCTCCAGGGTCAAGGCCCTCTTCTTGCCTCCCCCTTTTCTCCCCCAGACGACGTTGCAGATGATGCTCTACCAAGAGTTGGAAGGACTCCCCAGGGAATCCCACAAGACACTGCGCTTCCTATGCCTCCTTTCCCTCGTTTAAAAAATGGGGATAAGAAGGTTGGCTACTGCTCCGACAGCCCTCACAATGGAAGAGTAGCACTTCATTTGTGGGTTAACAAAGGGCAACGCTGAAATCTCCACTTCCACTATTGAATGGAACTGTGTCATAATATCTGTTAGAGGCGTGCAAACTCGGCCACAAGGTCATGGTCATACGTTATTGTTGGTCAAAAGCCGCAGCCCTACCTGAGGCTTTGAGAGATATGAACACCAATGACTTTTCTTTTCCTGACTCCCGAAATACCAAGAAAAAGCAACTTCCCCAAATGGACAGAAACAGAAAGTACCCTTGGTTGAACACAGAGGCCTGGTTCCAGCCATCGTTAGACGTGGGAAGGAACTCAGACCCCCTCTCCTACCTCATCCCCAACCCCTTCCCCACACGTCACCCTTTCACAGAGAAGGAACCAGAGCCACCAAGGGCTGAGAGAGGACTTGATAAGGATTCCAGTCTTCTGTCTCCCCTGTCCCCACTTTTTCCACCACAAAAATATGGACATTTGGAAGAAGAGGAGAAGAGGGAAGGTACACACTGTGCAAAGGAAGAAAATGGCAGAAATGCTCTGGAATCAGGAATTCAGGAGCAAGAATGACACTGTGTGCCAGATGGAAATGTTGGATTAGGAGAGCACTTGGAAAGGCAAATAATCTGCCAGAGAAATTATGGGATGCCTGCCTTCTGAAAATGGAGGAAAACTGCAAAAGAGTGGCTCATTGGTGCTCACTCCTAGGGCTCTGAGCATCCCAAGAAGCCAACTTGGTCCCATCGTACATCCCCTCAGAAGTAGGCATTCTCCTCTCCACCTACAGCTGTGGCCCAGATGTGGAGCCTGCATGTTATGCCACGCCGTCAACACTGAGTTCTGTCTGCGTCTCCCTGTCACAGATCTGATCAGCACCTGACACCTATCCATTCTCCATTTCCCACCTCCCCAAAGCTGCTGGAAAAACTCTGAAAGGTACCTCTGTCACTCATTAAGCATCTGATTATGTACCTCTTTCTACAACTCCTTTGTTGCTTTGTTTTAAAATCTATGGCTCTTTGAAATCACTCTCCTTCCTTTCACTGCCTAATGTTTTCAAAGAGGAGTCTACCCCTGCCTCCACTTCCTCATCTTACATTTATTCCTCAATTCTCTGAACAGAGACCACCAGGGAAACCCCAAATGTCAACTCCAATGGTTTCATTTTCTTACCTCACTACAGCATTTGGCACCACTCCTTCTTGAAAATCCCCTCCTTGGCTTCTCCTCCACCTCTCACCATGATTTCTGTTTTCTTCTTCTGGCTTCATTTCTTCATCATCTCTTAAACATTACAATGCTTGAGATTTCAGATAAGGCTGCTTCTCTTCTCCCTGGGCAATCTCATCCATTCCCATCATACTGATCCCTCCCAAACTATCGCCCAGACTTCTCTCTTGAGCTCCAGATCTGTAATTCCAAGTGTTTTCTGTACACCCATACCTAGATAATCAATCCAAAAGCCTTTTAATTACTCCATGACCTAAAATAAATTCCTCATCTTCTCCCAAACTCCTTCTCCTGCCTTCCCTATCTCAGTTGACATCATTACTATCCACCAGTGGATAGTAAGATTTCTAGTAACTTATAGCCAGAATATATAAAGAACTCCCACAACTCAAAAGTAGTAAAGACAAAGAATCCAATTTAAAAATGGGCAAAAGACTTGAACAGACACTTCAACAAAAAAAAGATATGCGCATGGCCAATAAACACACGAAAAGGTGCTAACATGATGAGTCTTTGGGGAAATGCAAACTTAAACCATGAGTTACCACTTTACAGTCATTAGAATAGCTAAAATTCATACTGAAAACACCAAATGTTGGCAAGGATGTGGAGCAACTGAAACACTCATATATTGCTTGTAGGAGTGTAACACGGCACAACAAGTTTGGGAAACTGATTGGCAGTATCTAATAAAGTTAAATATACATCTACTTGTGACCTAGAAATTCCACTCCTAGGTATATATCCAAGATAAATGAATGTATATATCCCCACAGAAACATATATATGAATGACTGTAGCAACTTTATTTATAATAGCCCCAAACTGGAAACACCCTAAATATCATTAATAGTAGAATGCATTTTTTGTTAAATTGTGGGATATTCGTACACTGGAATGCTACTCAGCAGTAAAAAGGAATAAATGACTGATGCATTTGTCCACATAGGTGAATCTCACAAAAATGATGCTGAGCAAAAGAAGCCAGACACAAAAGAAAATATAGTGCATGATTCCATTTATATGAAGTTCAAGAACCAGCAAACTAACTTATAGTGATAGGAGTCAGAATGATGGTTATCTTGGGGGAAGGGAACAATTTAGCCAGAAAGTGGACATGAGTGAACTTTCTGGGGTGGTGTTTTTATCTTGATGGTGGTTAAATGGTTTCTGCATATGCACAAGTTAGTGAGATCTTCACTTAAAAGTTACATATTCTGCTCTTTGTAAATTATATCCCAGTACATAAAATATGTGAGAAAAGAAAATCCACATTGGTCTTCCTGTCACCCAGTGCAGTGGCATGATCAATGCTCCCTGCAGCCTCAAATTCCTGGGCTCAAGCCATCCTCCTGCCTCAGGCATGCCTAGCTAATTATTATTATTATTATTATTATTATTATTATTATTATTATTATTAATTTGGTAGAAATGGAGTCTTGCTGTGTTGCCCAGGTAGGTCTCAAACTCCTAGGCTTAAACAATACTCCCACCCGGGCCTCCCAAAGTGCTGGGATTACAGGTGCAAGCCACTGTGCCTGGCTGACATTGGGCTTTTATATCTTCATGCCCTTCCTCTCTCTGTCCTCTCTGCTTAAAATACCTCTCTCCACTTATTTATTTGACTGAATGCTTACTGACTATTCATGATAATCAGGAGAACCACCTCAACTTCTATTCCAGAATAAATATAGACTCCCTCCTGGTAAAAATAAACAGAGAGAGAAAAAGTAATGATATGAAAACACAAAAAGATTCAGACTTTCAACAGAACGGAACATGGTCAGAGAAAATTAGTTTCCTTTGAAATGAAATTTCCACAAGAAGAAGAGGAAAAAAAATTAAACATCTTTCTCTTTTATGTTTTTAATAATATTTGGGAGGATATTGTATTTGCAAGTGTAGTGGATTATGTAATTACAAACTGAAATTACAAGGAATCATTAAGAAATTACAAACTGAAATTAGGAAACATTTTTAGCTTGCTAAATTTAAACCTCAATGGAAACAATGAACAGAAGATTGGGAACCGAAGAAAGCTGAATGTGTGACCCAGAACTCAAGCTTGAAAATTTATCCTGGAATTCAGAAGAGAAAAGATGATCTGTGATAGCTAGACTATAGAGGTCTAATATGTGTATAACAGTAATTCCACAAGGAGAGAGAGGAGAAAATAAAATATATGGCAGAAGAAATTTTCTCTGAACTAAAGAAAGATTTGCATCTTCTACTCAATATCTTAACTTTCCTGGTAAGACATGAATTACCAAAAATTGACTTAAGAAGAGATACACTCTGAATAGACCAATAACCATGGAATTGTATAAATTATCAAAGAACATCTCTCTTGAAAGTCTCCATGTCTTGGTAGTTACATAGATGACTTCTATCAAATTTTAAAGGACAGAATTCTACCATGCTTTTAAAAAATACTACCATGAAAAATATAGTATGCTAACCTTTCATGTAAAAAAGAAAGAGAAATAAGAAAATATGCATGTATCTTCTCATTTGTAGAAAAACAAGTATAGGAAGGATCAACCAGAAACTGATGAGATTGGTTACCTACAGTGGATAGGTAGGGATAGTCTGGAAAGAATGGGAGATTGGGGGTAAGGATAGAAGGGATGGGAGAAATGACAATTCTCTGAGTATGCTGTTTGTACAGTTCTTACTTTGAGGACCATGATAATGCTACATATATCCTCATCTCACCCTAAAGTAGTAAGTTTACATCAATCAGGATGTGATGGGAACCCAAAACTGAATATGAACAGTAACAAATGAACCTATTACAAATGAATGATATAATCATACTGAGGAAGGAGAAGACAAAAGGAACTAACCAAGTAACATAGAAAACCATATTTTGACTACATACTATAAGTATGTGCCCTGTCCAAATCTCATACTGAAATGTAATCCCCAGTGCTGGAGGTGGGGCCTGTTGGAAGGTGATTGGATCATGGGGGCAGATTTCTCATGAATGGTTTTTCACCATCCCTCTTGGTACTGTCCTCTTGAGAGTGAGTTCTCATGAGATCTGGTCATTTAAAAGTGTGTAGTACTGGGCAGGCGCAGTGGCTCATGCCTGTAATCCCAGCACTTTGGGAGGCCAAGGCAGGCGGATCATGAGGTCAGGAGATTGAGACCATCTTGGCCAACATGGTGAAATTCCGTCTCAACTAAAAATACAAAAATTAGCTAGGTGTGGTGGTACATGCCTGTAATCCCAGCTACTTGGGAGGCTGAGGCAGGAGAATCGCTTGAACCAGGGAGTCAGAGGTGGCAATGAGCCAAGATCGCACCACTGCACTCCAGCCTGGCGACAGAGTGAGACTCCATCTAAAAAAAAAAAAAATTGTGTAGTACCTCCCACCTTGGTCTCTCTTGCTCCTTCTCTGGCCATGTGACATGCAAGCCCCAACTTTGCATTCCACCGCAATTGTGAGCTTCCAGAGGCCTCCCCAGAAGCAGAAGCCACTACGCTTCCTGCACAGCCTGCAAAACCATGAGCCGATTAAACCTCTTTTCTTTATAAAAATTACCCAGTCTCAGGTGTTTCTCTATAGCTATGTGAGAACAGACTAATACAAAAGCTAAAGATGAAAAAAAAAAAAAAACAAAAAAAAACACAACTTGTACCACATTGTGTTGGTATTACTGCTTAAGGGGTCTGTTTTCTGATGAGCAAATCTATATCTCACAGGTATATGGGTTAGAAATTCTGAAACTCTTTTATATATATATGTGAAGATTGAACAAATAAGTAAATATATTGTGAATAATGAGAGCCAAGTTTTTCGGTGTTGAGGAAGGAAGTTACAAACAAGGAAAGGTGGAAGGCTAGAATGAATGTGGTGGTGTTAGATGAGAATTGGAGGTATCAGTATATACTCATGGTTTTTAATAGTTAGATACATAGATAAATATATAGATAAAGAGATATAGATGTATGTATATTTCCCAGCTCTGATGATGGAGCCTAGAGGTAATGATATCCCACTAGGGATGAGCACACCTAGCTTCCAGATCTTGGTTTCTAAATATCATCCTTCAATAAAAGGAACCAGAGCTCCTTGGAGGAATGTCTGATTGAAGGGCCATGACAGGGAAAGAACAAGATGAATCTAGAACATCTTGTGGTACTAGAAAATAATAAAGTGCTCAAAAAATGATTAATGTTTGTCAAAAGAATGCAATAACCAACTTGAAGGGGCTCCCAGTGACCAAATCCAGAACAAGCTGAGTAACACAATAACGATAGTTATGGGTTATAGCTTATAGAATAAAATAAGTAGCCAAGAGTCCATAATGACATAAAAAAATTGGATAAATACATGGGGGAGAATTGACAACCCTTTCTTACAGTGGAATGCCAGTGAATACATGTAGAAGGAAGATGGAAGCAGAAAAATCACCATTTGGTAAACATCACAGTAATAATTTTTGCAGGCGAGGATCATCAATGGGTTGGGCACAGTGGCTCACGCCTGTAATCCCAGCACTTTGTGAGGCCAAGGCAGGTGGATCACCTGAGGTCAGGAGTTCGAGACCAGCCTGCCCAACATGGTGAAACCCCGTCTCTACTAAAAATACAAAAATTAGCCAGGTGTGGTGGCGCGTGCCTGTAATCCCAGCTACTTGGGAGACTGAGGCAGGAGAATCTCTTGAACCTGGGAAGCAGAGGTTGCAGTGAGCCAACCATGCCATTGCACTCCAGCCTGGGTGACAGAACAAGACTCTGTTTCAAAAAAAAAAAAAATCATCAATGGATGCTAAATGCAGTGAGCAAAAATATGATGATAAATGGTGCTGTGGTCTGAATGTGTCCCCCCACCTATTCACACATTGAAGCCTAACCCCCAAGGTGATGGTATTAGAAGGTGTGGCATTTGGGGAGGTGATTAGGTCTAGGTGATGAGGGTGGAGCCCTCATGATTAGAATTAGTGCTCCAAAAAAAGAAGCCTAAGGGGCCAGGTGTGGTGGCTTATGCCTGTAATCCCAGCACTTTGGGAGGCTGAGGCAGGTGGATCATGAAGTCAGGAGATGGAGACCATCCTGGCCAACATGGTGAAACCCCGTCCCTACTAAAATACAAAAAATTAGCCGGGTATCGTGGCACGTGCCTGTAGTCCCAGCTACTCGGGAAGCTGAGGCAGGGGAATTGCTTGAACTTGGGAGGCGGAGGTTGCAGTGAGCCAAGATCACGCTGCTGCACTCCAGCCTGGGCGACAGAGCAAGACTCCATCTCAAAAAAAAAAAAAAAAGCCTAAGGGAACTGCCCCTTACCGTGTGTTGCACCACGTGAGGACACAGTCAGAAGGTGCTGCCTGTGAGGAAGGGCCCTTGTCAGACATCAAATCTGCCAGTAACTTGATCTTGGACTTCCCAGCTTCCAGAACTGTGAGACATAAATGTTTGTTGTTTATAAGCCACCCAGTGTATGATTTTTTGTTTATAGCAGCCTGATCAGACTAAGACAAATGAGACATTTGCTTAAAGTAGCACCCAACAAGGTATTTTTGTTTTTCAGACAGATTCTTGCTCTGTCGCCCAGGCTGGAGTGCAGTGGCACGATCTCGACTCACGGCAACGTCTGCCTCCCTGGTTCAAGTGATTCTCCTGCCTCAGCCTCCCGAGTAGCTGGGACTACAGGCTTGTGCCACCATACCCGGCTAATTTTTGTATTTTTAGTAGAGACGAGATTTCACCATGTTGGCTAGGCTGATCTCAAACTCCTGGCCTCAAGTGATCTGCCCACCTCGGCCTCCCAAAGTGCTGGGATTACAGGCATGAGCCACCATGCACAGCAAGATACTTTCTAGTTACAAAGGGAAAATAGAAACCTTACAGCAAAGAAGCCAGACGGACACCCCCTTAACCAAGTGAACAAAGTTAACATTATCATAAGGAGACACAGCAATAACATTCATCTCGTGATTTGATGCTGAGACAGGCACATCATTTCTGTGGTATTCTTGCCAAAAATGTCTTACATCAATCTCATCAGAGAAAACATCAGGGCTTGGTGTTGGTTGCTCACACCTGTAATGCCAGCATGTTGGGAAGCTAAGGTGGGAGAATTGCTTGAGACCAGGATTTCAAGACCAGCCTGGGCAACATAGCAAGACCCATTTCTACCAAAAAATAAATATGTATATTAGCTGGGTGCAGTGGCATGGGCCTGTAGTCCCAACTACTAAGCATGCTGAGGTGGGAAGATCGCTTGAGTCCAGGAGGTTGAGGTTGCAGTGCAGTCTAGCCTAGGTGACAGAGCCTAGATGACAACCTGTCTCTAAAAAGAAAAGAAAGAAAAAGGAAAACATCAGACTCACTCAAATTGAGGGACATTCTACAAAATCTTCAACAGTGTCAAGCTCAGGAAACAAAGGCTAAAGGGCTGTCACAGATTGTCACACAACACTTAAATGCAATGAGGGATTTGAACTTGGATCCTGGGCCAGAAACAGTACATTTAGTTGTACTATCGGCAAAATTTGAATAAGGTCTGTAGACTAGTTAATAGTTTTGTATCAGTGTTAATTTTTTGATTTCAAGAATCAGACTATGTTATATACAACGCTAATATTTAGGGAAGCTGGGTCAAAGGTCTATGGGGACTCTTACGTTTGCACCTTTGTTTGTAAATCCAAAATTATTTCAAAATACAAACTTAAAAAAGCAAAACTTGAAAGTTGCAAATCTTACAAACTTTGGAAAAACTTCCCATTTTGTTTTCACCTGATACTAAAACACAAAAAGAAAACTACAGGTGAATTCTTCTCTATGATACAGATATAAAATCTGAAATAGAATAAGTGCAAGTTTGGCTGGGCGCGGTGGCTCATGCCTGTAATCCTAGCACTTTGGGAGGCCGAGGCGGGTGGATTGCCTGAGGTCAGGAGTTCAAGACTAGCCTGGCCAACATGGCGAAACCCCATCTCTACTAAAAATACAAAAATTAGCCGGATGTAGTGGCAGGCGCCTATAATCTCAGCTACTTGGAAGGCTGAGGCAGGAAAATCACTTGAACCCGGGGGGGTGGAGGTTGCAGTGACCCGAGATCGTGCCACTTCACTCCAGCCTGAGTGAAAGAGCAAAACTCCATCTCAAAAATAAATAAATAAATAAATAAATAAATAAATAAATAAATAAATAAAATAATTTTTAAAAGTAAATGCAAGTTATATCCAGCCTTTAATTAAAATAGCAATATACTGTGACAAAGTAGGGTTTGTTCAAGGAATGCCAACATCCTGGATGAGCCCAAAGGAATGCAGACTGGACTGGTCGCCCACAAGAATCCACTGTGAACATTGACCTGGTTAAAAGTCAGGGGCCTGCACGGAGGCGTTTATGGGTGGGCCCTGGGGTGTGAGATGGGGAGTGACCTCTAGTGGAAATTCCAGCATGTCACCATAGGAGATGGGTAGAGTCTGACTGATGCGTCCCCATTGCAAAATTTAGATTGGATGTTTGGGGAGGAGCTGAAGGAGATAGGGCCAACCTGCACCCACATCTCTCCCAAGCCAGTCCCTTGCTGTTGCTACCAATGGGAGTGTGATCTCTATCCCAGGTCCCCCTCACAGGTTGAACTTTATGGAGAAAAAGCTTCAGGAAGAAGCAAAAAGACCTTTTCATTAAGGGCCGAGAAACCAAGTGAAAGGGGCAAGAACATGCCATGGCTCTGGCCCCTGTAGGCCTGTGGAAAAGCATTGCTTTGAAATCACTAAGCCTTGTACCTTGGGGAACACAAGGAGACTGACCCCAGCACAGTCACCACTGTAAGACAGACCTGGGGAACCACAGGGATAACTGAG